>NC_000002.12:57463079-57766109 GCF_000001405.40 Homo sapiens | reverse complement strand
ACTTCTGAATTAACCCATGCAGCAAATGCTACAAGCAACTGCCTGCAGTCCATTTAGAAGCATTTGCAGTGGATGATGGAGGGGACTGACTCATGGTACTCCTGCTTCCTAATCCACATCTACTGGAAAGTAGACAGCGAGGCCAGGATGGAGCCGCAGATGCACACCAAGTACTTGCACTCAGCAGGGAGGTGATCTTCTTGGTGCTGGGTACCAGGGTGGCGATCTCCTTACGCAACCTGCCCATGATGCCTGGGTATGTGGTGGTGCCATTGGACAGCACCATGTTGGTGTACAGGTCCTTGTGGATGCCCACATCATACTTCATGGTGGAGTTATTAGGTTATTTTTATTTTATTAAGTTAGCATAATCTTCAGAACTGGAACAGCGCCTCCAGACGTCAGAACCACTCATTGCTAATGGTGATCATCTGGCTATTGGACAGTTGGTAGCTCTTCTCCAGGAGGAGGATGCAGTGGTGGCCATCTCCTGCTCAAAGTCCAGGGTAACATACCATAGCTTCTCTTGATGTCACGCACGATCTCCCTCTCGACTGTTTTGGTGAAGCTGTAGCTGTGCTCCGTAAGGATCTTTATGAAATTGTTGGACAGGTCCCGGCCAGCCTGGTCCAGACACAGGATGGCTAGGGAAGGGTGTAGCCCTCATAGATGGGCACTGTGTGGGTGACCCTATCTCCAGAATGCATGACAATACCAGTGGTGCACTCAGAGACATAGAGGGACATTACAGCTTGGATGCCCACATGCATGGCCAGGGTATTGAAGGTCTCAAACATGATCTGAGTCATCTTCTTTCTATTGGCCTTGGGGTTCAGGGAGGCCTCAGCAGCACAGGGTGCTCCTCCAGGGCCATGCGCAGCTTGTTGTAGAAGGTATGGTACTAGATCTTCTCCATGTTGCCCCAGTTGGTGTCCATGCAGTGCTGGATGGGGTACTTCAGGGTCAGCATCTGGCTTGCTCTGGGTCTTGTCACCCATGTAGGAGTCCTTCTTGCCCATGCCCACTATCACACTGTGGTGCCAGGGGCACCTGACGATGGAGAGAAACATGGCTCAGGGGGTGTCTTCCCCAGCAAAGCCAGCTTTGCACATGCCAGAGCCACTATCATTGACGAGCCAGCAATCTTTTCTTTCAGTGAGATCAATGGAGGAGCTGGGAGGTGGAGGGTAGACCATTTGCAGCGAGTGAGCCACATCATTATCTTATGCTTTCCTTCCAACAACTTTTAGATAGATAACCAGGGCCCCACTGCTGGGCTTGTTTTAGAGGCATAGAGAAAGGCTCAACTCCTGTTCTTGATTTCCTTCTCTTACATTCTTGACTATTCCTTCTTTATGCTGCCCCTTCATCCTCTTCCTCTATGAAGGCTTTTCATATCTGTAACATAAAAAGGATTAACTCACTCTCGTTTTAAACAAAGAAACAAAAACATCATCCTATTCTTCAACAGCGTCCTTCTTTTTTTCCCCCAATATTCCCAATACAACCAGCCCTGTGCCTCCATTGCCCTTTACAGCCAAGTGTCAGGAGAGGGGGCCTCAGTCGCTGTGTGAAGATTTCCCTTGCATTCCCTCCTTGAATTTCTCAGTCCCATTGTGAATTCTCTTCAGTGCTGGCACTGAGATCCATCTCCTGCTTCTTCCAGCTCTCTCTTCCATCTTGGACAGCTACTCTCACCTTTTCAGGGAGCTCAATCTAATTTGAGGCTTCTTCCTCCAAAACTGCATTTCTGTCCCAGCCTCTCTTATACAAAATCTTACACAACTTACACACATATACACACACACCAATTTCCAATATATTCAAGTTAGCTTCCTGTTAAAAATGGATTACCAACTTTCCTTAATGACATGATGATCAACCTTGTTGCTCAGGCCAGATTTCTGGGTCAAGTCTGGGAATCTCATCAGCTTTCATCATGTTCATTCTTCAACAACACGTGTTTTGTTAATGTTATCCACTCAAATTCTGTCAATTACAATTTTGTTTTTAAAATTCAAATGTATTTCCTCGTTTCATCCTCACAGGCCTATGTTATTATAAAGTCTTATCTTGCTTGCATTACTGCAAAAGTGTTCTAACTGGTATCTTTGCTTCTAATTTCCCTTCTTTCCAAATATCTATACTCCTGCCAGAGTGGTAGTGGTGTTTCTAACACTTACCTGCTTAAAACCCACTTATTTTTTTCTTACCACCTTTCAGTGGAAAATCTGAAGTCTTTAATACCTAACAAGAGGAACTTTTTGATTTGTTTTAGCCTCTTTCCAACTCTTTCTCCTCATTTCCCTTGCATATTACCCTGTAACTGCAAGGAACCACCTGAAGTTCTTAGGATATTTTCAGTCATCTGGTATCCTTGCTTGAAATGTCCCTAAACTGGGTTAATAAGTGTCTTTCCCGAATTCATGTATATTAGGCACCTCAGAATGTTACCTCATTAGGAAGTAAGTCTTTTTAAAATTGCACATATTTAAGGAGTGCAACAGGATATTTTGATACACATAGTGGAATGATTATCACAGTCAAGCAAATGAACATATCCATCACCTCAAATAATTCCTTTTTTGTGTGTGTAAGGTAAACTACCTAAAATCTCTCTTAGCAAGTTTACAGCACGAAATACAAGATTATTAACTCTAGTCCTTATCCTATCCATTAGATCTCTAGACTTCTCCGACATCATTGCAACTTTGTACCCTTTGAGCTACTTCTCCCACTTTCTTCTTGCTCTTTGCTTCTGGTAACCACCCATTCTGTTCTTCTCTCTGTTTCTATGTACTCAACTTAAAAAAAAATTCCACATGTGATATCATGTAGTATTTGTCTTTCTGTGTTTGAATTATTTCACTTAGCGTAATGTCCTCCAGGTTCATCGATGTTGTTGCAAATGGCATCCTTTTCTTTTTAAAGGCTAAATAATATTCCATTGTGTATATGCATGTGTGTGTTTACATTCATACATATATAGGTCTCACAGTTTATCCAGTCATTCATTGAACACTTTGCAGCTGTAATTAGTTAATAGGAAATCATGCTGGATTAGGGTGGGCCCTAAATGCAGTATCACTGGTGCCTTATAAGAAAAGGAAAAGAGACACAGAGACCCTGACACACAGGGGAGAAGGCCAAGTGAAGGCAGATGCAGAGACTGGAGTAAGGTATGCACAAGCTGAGGAATGCCAAGGATCACCAGCAACTACCAGAAGCTAGGAGAGACGCGTGCGGTAGATTCTCTCAGAGCCTGGAGAAAGAGCCAACTCTGCCAACACTTTGATTTCAGACATACAACCTCCAGAACTGTGAAATAATAAATTGTTTTTGTTTAAAGCCAACCAGTATGTGGTGATTTTTAAAGGCAGCCCTAGGACACTAAGTTACCCTCCCCCAATTTTCTCCGAATTCAAAAAGACTTCAGGGGTAGGGCGTGGTGGCTTACGCCTATAATCCCAGCACTTTGGGAGGCCGAGGCGGGCGGACTGCCTGAGCTCAGGAGTTCATGACCAACCTGGGCAACATGGTGAAACCCCGTTTCTACTGAAACACAAAAAATGAGTTGTGCGTGGTGGCATGCGCCTATAGTCCCAGCTACTTGGGAGGCCGAGGCAGGAGAATTGCTTGAACCTGGGAGGTGGAGGTTGCAGCGAGCCGAGATCATGCCACTGCACTCCAGCCTGGGTGACAGAGTGAGAATCCATCTCAAAAAATAATAATAATAAAATAAATAAATAAGAGCCTTCAGGACCTCCCACAGGTCAGGGTGGGGACAAGCTTCTGGGCACCATGTGCTTCTCTGTTCTATTGCCATGTGAAAGCCACCAGCCAGTGAGATACTTGAGGGCAACACATGATCCTTAGCACTCTGCCTGCAGTGTCCAGTGCAGTCCCTGGCATGTAATGGGATGGTTTTTTGTCAGTTAATTGCATCCGTGAAATGTCCTTTTAATCCTAGTATTTTGTTTTGCTGCATTTTGTCTTTAATGGCAGACGTAACTGAGGTATCCAGTGTGTCCTTAATTTTAACTTTCCTTTTGAGAGGCCCTAATGAATAGCTGGCTGTTCTTTAGGGATGAAGTGCTGCAGTCAATTGAAAATCCAGTGTGGCGGTTGGTTACTATTTCAGCAGAGATGAGTTTTTCCAGTTCAGTAGCTGGCTTTGTGGCAGGGGCATGGAAGAGGTGTAAATGTGTAGAGTGGACTGGGCCCCAGTCCACTAGAACTTGTGGACATACAGGAGCTTTCTGTTCTGAGTGAGTGAGAATAGTGGCCACTTTAGGGCAGAAGAAACTTATTTTCATGGCTGAGGCTTCTACACCAAAGATTGATTAATGAGATACAAGCATACAAACTTGCTTAATATAAGTTTTGTGTGACATGGGAGCCTTCATAAGGAAAATGCCCAGAGAAACAGGTAAACTTGTAAATTTGTATGCTTAGGTTTGATGAAGAGTGAACAGTTATGAGGAAGTATGCAAAGACGAAGGGAATGTGATCTAATGGCAATAAACTGGGGGGAGCTTAGCAAGGCCTGTTTGCTCTGATCCTTCTTTGTGTCCCTCTGTCTCCAGGAATAAGAATGTTCCTTTCCTCCAGATCAAGGGAGGATACTTTTGGAATTAGGTTCTTATGCTCTGCTTCAGAGAAGTGTGGGAGAAGGTTAGAGAGCAACCTTCCTAGGCTTTATGACCTGCTCTAAGGGAGAAAGGTGAGAAGAAAGTAAGGGCGACTGTCCTGCTTCTTGTTTTTCAAATGCCAAGGTGCCATATTTGGGAGAAGCATATCCTGAACCCATCACAGGTACATGATTACCTGGAATAAGTTCCTGGGAGTTGGGTACCTTCCTTCTTTCGGTGGTTTCATATCTATGGCCACCTTCCACTCCCCAAACACTCCCTACCCTTCCTCCTTTTCCCCCTATACACATACAGAACATTGATCTGCTTCTTCTGAATGTTCCTCAAATATGCCAGTTTTTTTTGTTACCATAACTGACTAATTTTTGCTGAGTGTCATTTCATTCTTCTCTTATGTATAAGTAAAAGATAAGAGATGAACATTTTATTTTCTCTGTTACTAAGTCCATTCCCTTTTGATTCATCACAAGGCAAAATGAATCTCAAAAATCTTAATGAAGTTGGTAGTTCCAGTGCACATTAAGAGAAAATTATCTTACAGAAAAAATACACATCAACTATTTGGTTAACTGATGAGAAACTAAAGGCCAAGTTTGGAAATTGTTCAAGTTTTCTATGAATATTCATAAATAATTAACTTGCATCTCAATTTAGAACCTAACAACAGTTCATTTCAATTTTTAAAAAATATCCGAGTTAATTATATGCTGAGGTCTCCTTGCTGGGTCCTCTCTCCTAGTGGCAATTGAATAACTGCAGTTGGTGACAATAACCCTGTGTTTCTGTGGCGTTCACCACATTGCGGTGTAGCTGGAGGAAGATACATAATGAAACTCTTTGAAGGACAGCTGGCTTCCTAAGGGGTGCTCTCTCCCTTTCCCTACTCCCAATCTTTTCCTATGGGGGTAAATTCCTTTTGTTCACACTTTTTACTGAAAGTGAAAAAAAAAAGTGTGCAAAATAAGAGGCAAGAAGAAAATAACCTGCCCTAAAGTAAATACATGGTGAAAAACGAGATAGGTTTATCCTGTTGGAATTTTCCATGCCTTCAGAAGCAGATGCTTAGTCCTGTGAGGGATGCAGAGATTGCAAGCCTCCCAGGGTAAAAAAATAAAAAGAAAAAGAAGAAAAAGAAAAAAATTCAGGAAGAACTCAGTCTAATCGGACGAAGGGACCCCTGTACTTTGTGAAAGAAGGCTGCATAGAAGAATCAGAGCCCTGGGCTCTCAGAGGGAGGCCATTCGGGGACTGCCCCTTTTGTCTCCTCGCCTTGTATGGGCTGGAGGATGGAAAAATTGTGGACAAAAGGCCCGAGGAGGGCGGAGGGTCGGGTCTGAACTCTCGAGGCACAGCTCTCAGCGTTATTCACCATGCCACGTTTCCGCCAAATGGTCCTGTCCAGTTCCCAGCCCGGGCCGGGTGCCGACGGCGGGGTAACACTGCCATCTAGTGGCCATCTCTCCCCTGCCAGCTGGCTCTCAGTGCCCTCTTGCTGGCTCGGTCGTTCCCTCACTCCCCCTCTCTCCCTTTCTCTCTTGCTCTCTCTCCTACGCCCCTCTCTCTCTTTCTAAAAAAGGTTTTTTATCCCATCAAGGAAAAAAAAAAAAAACCTGGCTCTTGGAAAACAACCAACTCTCTTGGAACTCAGAGATAATAATCAGTTTCTCTGGGCTTGTGAAATTGGCTCATTAAGCGTGCTTTTTAACAGAAAATATTGGAAGCGATTAAGTCTGCTTTACTGAGTGGGCATGAAATGGCCAACCTTCGGCCACCCACAGCTCCTAGGTGCCTGGCGCCGTTTTATGCATGCAGCGTAATGTCTTTACTTGAAGTGCTGTTTATTCATCACCTGCTTATTTATCTCTTTGCATTTGGCAGGCACATCGATCAATGTTAAACTGTCACACAAGGTTATTTTTCTTTTACATAACAGTATAGGCCTAAGGTAGTGGCATATTAAAAGTAATAACTTTCTAACTTGTAGCTCAAGATGACAGCCCCATTTTTACCCGAATATATTACAGCAAGGAATTCCTCATTCCGTTCTCCCTCCCCCTCCCTCTACTTCACTAGTACGCAGCTCTTCCAAGGTCAAAGGCTTCATTCTGTCTAGCCTCCCTCCCACTTTGCATACCACTCAGCTTCCTCTTCACCTCCAGTTATCTCCACCTTTTAGGCTGATCCGCCCACAGAGAACATTCTGTGCACCTGGTGTACACATCTTGCTTGTCCCTCTTTATGATGGCATTTACCCCTTTGCATAAAGATGTGGGGGCCAGCAGATCTCTGGAAAAGAAGTAAAAAACGACTGCATATGATAGTGAGAATCGTGATGGTCTCATTTCCATCTCCACAGACATCTCACTAAATGTAATAGTATATTTGGCTTTAGAGTTATAATAAGCAACAACAACCACAGACCCTATGAAAAGAATCGAAGGAGAAACATCTGAAAGCAACGGTATTGCTCTGAAGCAACTGGTGTGATTTGAGGCTGTTGAGTCCACTTATTTTCTTCCTCCTTTCTTTGGTTTTAGGTTAATTTGTGCCCAGTTTGTGATACTTCCTTTCTTGGCAATAGGCCAAGAAAATTTTCTTAGTGCAAACAGGTTTTCTTTTTCTTTTTCTTTTTTTTCCCTCTCCAGTCCAGCCTAAAAATGCCTACAGATGGGATAGCAAATCTTTTTAGTATCACATTTCAAAGTGGCCCTTAGAATTTCTTCCTGTCCTTGATCTCTCCTTTTGAATTTCAAGTCAGACTTAGATTCTGTTGCTAAATATGTTTCGGACAGTGGTTCTCAGATACAATGCTTTGATAATCTTGTGTACACAGCAATTAAGTGTCTTAGCATAGCAGACCTTGTTGTGGTACAACTATTCTTGTGACCTAAGGTACCACATCCATTCTGATAGTCTGTCTCTGTGCGCACCAAAATAACTCATCTAGAAAGCAGGAGGAGGGAAGTGTAAGTGGTTAAACAAATGTGGTCCAGTAGACTACTGAAGTACCTGCTTTGGAGGCTCACAAGCTTGGCATTGAATCTGGCCCACCTTTTGGATTTGCTTATGCATTCCTATGCATAGAAAGATGGTGGAATACTGATCTATGGTGATGTATTTTATCATGGGTAGCACAGCCCCAGAAAAAAAGCATGTCCATTAAAAAAATGCAGCCCGGCCTGTGTCTATGCTCCTACGATCAATATTTGCATTAAAATGGCTTAAATGTATGTGGCGCAGAAGCTGTCCATTCTTTCAACCTGACCTGCTGCATTGATTAGGGCTAGTGCTAGAGGGAGAAAGAGCAAATCAGGCAAGGAAAAGAATTAAAAGGAAAGATAGAAGAAAATGAAAGCTGTCGCTATGAGTCCTGTAGGAGATATACTTTAAGCCAATCATGGATGCCATCTTTACTCAGCAGCCCACTCTGCAGGAGAATGCACCCTCTCCGTATCTCTCATAGGGCTATTTTGTCTTTTAAAAACCAACAAAAGGATTTCTGGTTGTCTCTAAGACTGGGCAACTCAGCAGCTTGTGATTAAGAACTCAATGTTTCCAGACAGCTCTCTGGATTTAGCTACTTTTCTTACTTGTGTGTGTGTGTGTGTGTGTGTGTGTGTGTATGTGTGCTTCAGCAGTCCATATGTGTGAGCTATACTTTGTTGGGCTAAAAATCTCTTTAAAAAGAATTATAACCACCACTTATTAATTGATCATTTTGTACCACATATTGCTAAGTGCTTTGCAGGGATTGATTGATTGATGGTAGCTATGTGGTATCAATACATTGATTCTTTAAAGCTGCTTTATATACTGGTCATTCTGATCCCATGTTTAGTTGGCATCCAAGGATAGATTTGTAACTAGTCCTAAATCAAACCATCAGTAAAGGGCAGTAGTTCTTCAAATCTGGATCTCTGATTCCACAGCCCAGACTCTTAACCATCATGCTGGGTAATGTTCATTGTGGATGTCTTATCAAAGTAGACATCACATTTAACACTGTTTATGAAGAGATATAATGCCCACTTTATAATATTGGAACCCACTGTCATATCACCATAGACACTTTCAATTATTTGGTGCACAAAATATTTTCAGTGGAAACATGGATGGAAATTATCTCCAAGAAAAGGCCAATGAATAATAAGAGCAGAGATACAAGGTGTTAGTACTTTGTTTACCTTCTGTTGTGGCAAAGAAATAACCCATATATATCTTGCTTGTTGAGGTGAAGCAATCTCCAGAAATATGGAAGTTTCTGAAGGGAACCGCTTCAGGGTGCTCATTCAGGGGTTGACTGGACTGGATATGAGGACTATAATATATGTGTCCAGACACATAGTAATAGGCACTAAATGAATACTTGTTCATATAATATTCAAGACATATGTGTTAAGTAATTGCTGTTGAAACCAGTGCTGGATAAGCTATTTCATAATATCTAAAAACTGATTCCATAGTTAAGGATAAAAGCAGACATGTGAAATAGTTAAATTCCTTCACAAGACAGTATGTGATCTTAAATTTGATCTTAAGTTTCCATTTGAGCCTTATAGAAAATAAATTTATGAGGAATTTAGAAAATGGAGAGTGTTGGGAGGTGGAGTGTTTGAAGAAAGCCTTGTAGAGTAGGACTTGAAGATGAGTGGATAGAATGTACATAGGAAGATAGAGGATATTCAGAATAGAGAAATATGTAAGTACAGTTTGGAATTTTGGAATGAATATCCCTGCTGAAGCTAACGTTTAGTTGTCATAGGCTACTGGATTAAGTTAAGCCAGACCACAAAGACCCTGAAGGTCAAGATTGGACAGCTGAATGCTTTTGAATTAAGTATCTTCTTTTATTGTCTTGGGGAATCAGGCAAATTTGTCTGCTGAAATTACAGCTTGGAAATTTGACCTACTTAGGGCATTGCTTGGAGCATTGGAGTTTCAAACAAGCCCTTCACTGTAAAGCAAGAATCTCTTGATACTTTCATTTTCTCAAGGATGAAAAGAAATTAAAAGTAACACATGTGAAAATTTTACTTATGAGGCTAACTTGAAGTAGGAGAATTACCCCAAGAGAGACATAAAAAGGTAAAAGCAATTTTCCGAATCTAAAATTGTTAGAGCAATGTGTTGACAAGTTTGCTTTTTGCCAAAACTGGTACATAAAAAGACACCTTATCAGAGAGATCAATTTGTGTGCAATAGTCATTCACATTAGAAAAAGATTTTCTGTATGTTTCCTTTAAATAGAAGTCCCTTTGTACATTTTAAATGTGGTTTGATGTACTAAACTAAGTACAGCCAGAAACACACACACACACACACACACACACACACACACACACACACACTGAAAACAATCCCACAAACAAAGATAGTTTTTTAAGGAAGTCATAGCTTATCAACTCGTTCATAGAGCAAGGTATATATACTTACAAGTTGCTACCACAACTCAGATTGAGTTGGATAATAATGCCAATGCATTACAAAGTCACAAGTGAATTTCTGATTTTAGGAAGGCTCTACATGCTTAGAAAAATGGGTTCCGAGGGAATTTAGTTATCCATGTAAGAAGCTGGGTTTGAAATAACAGTGAGAATAGTATCTCACCACAGGACACTTTAGGATGAGGCTTTGTGTAATAGGTCCATATAGGATCTAACATTGTCTTACCTTGTCTCATTTTGAGTGAGTCCCTTTGTTTGCCTCTCAGTTTTTCGGATTCTTCATTAAAGAATGAAGTTTTGTATCCTACTAGAAGATTCTCAAAGAGCAGTTCCTGGAAAAGTAGCATCAGCATTACATGAGCACCTGGTAGAAATGCAAATTCTTGGCCCTTACCCCTGAACTACTGAATCAGAAACTTGAGGCGGAGCTCAGCATTCTGTGTTTCAACAAGTCCTCCAGGTGATTCTGATGCACGCTGAATTTGGGAATCACTCTCTTAACTTCCTAAAGTTCATCTTCTTATGCTCTAACACTCAAAGTGTTATAAATAGTTTTGATTTAAATTCATGGACAGTTTATTTCTACACAAATAATGCTAAAGGCCTTTGCTTTTATAGCTTTGCTTGATTTGCATAGTTTTTTGTCTTTTCCTGATGGTGGCACCTGCAGTGTCTCCCAGTTCTGACGTTTTACCCTCTGGCTTTATTTCCCAGCCAGCTGTATGGGGGGGCCTCAGGTTATCTGAGCAGAACAAGATCGTAAGGGCTTGCTGGCTTGCTTGCTTTTTCTTTCTTTCCTTCTTTCTTTCTTTCTTTCTTTCTTTCTTTCTTTCTTTCTTTCTTTCTTTCTTTCTTTCTTTCTCTTTCTTTCTTTCTTTCTTTCTTTCTTTCTTTCTTTCTTTCTTTCTTTCCTTCTTTCCTTCTTTCTTTCTTTCCTTCTTTCTTTCTTTCTTTCTTTCTTTCTTTCTTTCTTTCTTTCTTGCAATTTGTCATTTAGGGATTTTTTTAAAAAATGAATTTCTATATTTGAAGTATTATTTTAGCTAGGTCAGGTTGCTTGAAGTTTGATTGTTAGATAATAAGTTAAATGACATTTATCTATCACTTGAAATAAAAATTATTTTTAGTTAGATAAAGACTGGTAAGTCTCAAAATCATCTTTTTTAGGGATCATTTAATTTCAGTTGGCTTAAGATGGTATTTGTATTAAGTTAATAGGGTGCTAATTTAACATAGGTTTATAGTCATTTGAAGCCATTTTTATTCATTAAGAAAAATCTCTCTCTAGATTAGATTATCGTAAGGGTTTGAATAGCAATTGGGATTCTTCTGTCCAGGCCTGAGGATTTTCCAGATGAATGCACACTCTTTTTTGCTGTACTGTTGAGAAGTGTAATTTTTTTTTTTTAAACTATAGAGAAGGGCACTGACAGTGGTACCCAGCTTTGCCTTGGGCAGAAAAAAGAAAGAAATAAAACATCTCCACACATATTCTGCATTGTGTTCATATATTGGTTCTATAATATTTTATCATTTATATAATGCTAGTACGTATGATAATTTCTACATCCTGATTTATAATTTCCTGAACATTTTGGATATTATATGCAATGTCAAAATTCTTGTTCACTTTGAAATTTTTTAAAAATATTAAATCTAGTGAAATGTTTGCAGCCTGACTGCATTCAACACCAAAAAGTACATGAAAAAAAAACCAAAATATATGTATCCCCATTTAGTTTCCCAAAAGGCATGAATTGCAAAGGATCTTAGAATATTATTTAATTTTTTTCGAGGGAGAAGAAAGAGATTTTCTGTTTAGAGCGCAGAACATGCCCCAACTGTTTCATGCACTCTCTAAACCAGGCTGCCACCCCAGTAGTCACTTACAAGCAGTTGGAGACTTTTACATTTCCTTCATCCATCCGAGGTTTTTCCTCTCCTGCATCCAGGTCTTCTAGTTTCCTTTGTTTCTCTGGCTTTGACTTTCAGGGCCATCTAAACAACTGGAGAAAAATGACCCTCTGGCCACTTGAAATTCACTCATCCAAGTTTTGGCCTCAGAAGGCTGTACCCTTAGCCACATGGGCAATACTCTTCATAAACCCCTATTTAAAGTGGTTTTCACTAGTTTAACCTTCAGAACAAATGAGGAAAATGAGAATATAATGATGAGTCAGTACTAACTGGACATGAAGGACCTTCCTGCACGTGTAGGCCCTCCTAGTCTAGCTAAATATTTGCAAATCTTTTAAAGAATATATTCTTTTGCATATTATAATATTTAATATATATGATAGGCAATACTATAATATATTTAATATTATATACAATATTGATATTATATTACAAATATCTAACATAATACTCATATTTGTATAATTTTTACTTTTTGTGATAGAAGATATGGCTGTGATTAATTATAGAACTTTAACTGTATAATACATTTGGCCACAGGTTTACTTAAGCTGAATTCGTTTCAAATAATCTTTTTTGCTTTACATTTGAAAGTAAATGAACTCCCAACCATTTAACAGAAATGGTTGAATTGGCTGGACTCTGTAAGCACCTCTTTCTGGGTCTGGTGGTGCTCAAGTAGAGAAGATTCTTGACTTATCAGAGAGGTTAGGAGGTAGAAGTGACAGTTAGATCTGCATGTGGATATTGTATTACTCTACTTTTCCTTGTGACATTCTAGGTTTTATATAATATAAATCTATTTCTAAAATTCAGCAACGTGTCATTAATATATGATGCTTTCAGCAACGTTTCTGAAGGTTGAAGACACAACAGTACATTCCCTTAAGGAAATGAAAGCTTCTCTGAGTGGGTTTCTAACTTTCATGGAAATGTGAATTGAAAGTTTCAGGAGAATGCAGGGCCAAAATAATAGGTAAGATTAATGTGAATTGGAGATTATGAAAGCCATGCAAATAATACAATTATAATAAGCCATGCGAATTAGGTTCAAAATCTAACTTTTCTGCAAATCATGATTTTATTAGCTTAATACTCAGAGTGCCAATTTAATTCTTACCTAGGTTTTATTTATTGAATAATCTGGACTGTGAGAAAAAAAATCCACCATTTTCTAGTAGAACAGCAATTAACTTACCTCTTTAATTTCTAAAGCTATTTTGAACAGAAAAATCTTGAGAGACAAAGTAAGGCATTGCCTTAGTTTCTAACAGAAACAGCAATAGTTAAGAGAACATACTCTGGCAAAACTGAGTTCAAATTTAATATTTTCTAACAGTGTAATTGGGATTAGATTTAATTGAATTTAAGTATATGTCTAATTTTTTATTTAATATACTCATAGAACAGGAGCTGGACAACTTTGGCTCATGGACCAAATTCAGTTGGCTTCCTGTTTTTGTAAATAAAGTTTGTTGGAATTCAGTTATGTTTACTTTCGCACATATTCTATATGGCTGCTTTCACCCTACCAAGGCAGAACTGAGTAGCTCTAAGAGACCACATGGTCCCCAAAGCTTAAAATATTTGTTCTCTGATTGGCCCTTCACTGAAAAAGTTTGCCAACCCCTATCAAAGATTGTATTTTATTGATCTTAGGATCCCACTCTCCACTTTTCTTGAATGAGGTTGGTTACTGGATACTGGAAAAAATGTAGTCTCCTATCACAGGGGGACAATACCTTGGTAGTCAGAACTTGAATTCTTTTTGTGTTCCTATCACTTCTCTCTTCCAGCTTAAGAAAATTATGTTACTGCTGTATAATAGGAGAAAGTAGGTTTGTTTGATTTCTAAGGTCATTCCCTTCCTCTCTCCCTACTTTCCTTCCTTATTTGCCTATCATTCAAATTGTTCCTCATTATATTCACTGAACACAGCCTTCCCTTACCACTCTTGCCCAAATTACCTCCTCCTTCCTCTGAATTCCATAGCATTGCAATGTAATCATAGATTACATGTTGGTGCTTGTTTCATATATGTGATACTATTATTTGTTCTTCTTTATTATTTTAAATTATAGGTCCCTAAGAGTAAAAACAATATTTTTCCTTTTCATATCTTATAACAATTGTGTTTGAAATAGCACTAAGTAATTATCCTTTTGTTTGTTTTTAGTATTACGGAACTTGCAGGACTTATAAACAGTTGTCTCACATGTCCTGAAATGACCTGAACCCAATATTATTTGCATTTATGTAGAAGCAGTTACGCTTTATTAGGAAAAGCCACTGTAGTTGACAGATTTACATGAATAGAGACAGGAAGTGGACTGACATAAATATTAGTCCTAAGAAGAGAAATTGGAGGATGCAATGAATGGGTTATCTTGCTTGAGTAGGAAGAAATTGCAGAAACAGCCATGGAGATGATAGATCCATATTGGAGATCTAACATTTATATGCTTAAGTCAGACCAAAATGTTTAATTCTCATTATATTAGTGAGAGAGAAAATACAAGGTAATGCTTTGTGCAACACTGTGTACAAAGAAAACCCATTGACTTATGATGGAATTGTTAGCTAATATAGTTAATATTTATTGATTTCCTCCAATATACTTCAAGGTTGATTAGAAAAATACAAAATATATAGGTCTTTCTTTTATCCCATTTGATGGAGCCAAAATGGTCCACTCTCCCATTCACTTTCCTTCCTGGTTATTTAATTTTCAGTGATTTAACCATTGGAAGAAAGTTTGAGGTAAGGATTTATGCGGTTATTGTTACTACCTTTTTCTCATTGATATTTAAAATGAGGAAGATCATTTTATTGCTCTTGTGGTACCTTTGTTATCTGATTTAGATATCATGGCTGTTTATTCGGGTGTTAGAAATAAGTGTTCCTTATTAGGCATTGGCATGCAGGAGTGGTAGTTATTTGAACTACATACAACATCAAGAGATAGACTCATTAAATGGGAAGGTTTGAAAATACAGAAAACTACACAAATACCTTTTATTAATTTCAAGAATATCAAGGATTGATAGCAATTTGTGTACCTCTGTTTCACAAATGATAAAACATGTTTTAAGAAGAAAATGAATTTTCATATGATCAAGCAGAAGTTGCTTTTTTGACTCAGCAATGGCCTGAAATACCTACCAATAAATAATAAAAATGTACATTTAACTTCATTTTTAATTACAGTTATCTGTGAACAACACAGATTTGAACTTTCCAGGTCCACTTGTTTGTGGACTTTTTCCCCTTTGGCCGTTCGTGAGAAGGCAAGACCAACCTGAAGACCTTTATGACGATCCATTTCCATTTAATGAATAGCAAACACATTTTCTCTCATGATTTTCTTAATAACATTTTCTTTTCTCTAGCTTAGTTGATTGTAGAATACAGTATATAATACATATAACATTCAAAATATGTGTTAACGTACTGTTAATGTTATTGGTGAGGCTTCTGGTCAGCAGTAGGCTGTTAGTAGTTAAGTTCTGGGGATACAAAATTTATAAGTTGGATTTTTGACTGCATGGGGAGTTGGCACCTTTAACCTCTACATTGCTCAAGGGTGAACTGCACTTGTTGGGTTCACACAAGGTTCCACATATGGTCCAGAGCACATAGAAGAAATTACCCAGATCCCAGGAAGCTTAATGTATCCCTTAGTCTGTGAAAATAATACTCCATAAGACATACCCACAAGATCCCTGTCTATACCTACCCATTCTTGCCCAATCTGGATATCATTCAAAAGATGGGGCTGTGCATGGTGTGTGTATATGTGTTTATTATAGCAGTACATCTTAAGTTTTTCAATTAAATTACCTCTTTATAGTGAAGGAAGTTCTGACTGAGTCTTTAAAACATTTCCTGGATGTCCTATGTAAGTTTCTGTCTACAAGTGTTGTAGGTATTAAAGAATGATAGAGCTTTTTTTTTTTTGTTATAAAATGTTTAGGTTAAGTGCAATGTGTCATTTCTCTTGGTTTAGAAAATTGAAGACAATATGGAATGAAATAAACTTGTTTTATTTACATAATGGATAAAAAGCTTTTTCTAGAATTTAAGGATGCTAGGGATAATTGTCTAGAATTTAGGGAAGCTAGGGGTAATTGAATTAATTGAACATTCAATTAAAAATCTCATGCCAGTTAGAAAATGTCTTAGCAATTATTCAAATAAGAATCCAAGCCAGTTAATATGACATGACTGTGGTTGAATAGGACAAAGAAAAAGTATGGAGGAAACAACATCTTATGACATAATGGCTACACATACACCAACATGCTGAATTAATTTTCCATTTGACTTCTGAATGTAAGAATGGCAATTAGAGTAGCAGAGTAAATAAATGAATAAATGTATCATTTGTGTATCGGAGAATTGAGATAGTGTTTAGGAATTCTTGAGTAACATTTCATGATACAGACAGAAAGAAACTCTGCCTTTGAGCTGAGATGTGAAAAAATGTAGTGAACTCTCCTCATCTGAATCAGATTGATGATTATTCATCCTAGGATCAGAAACCAAATTCGAGGCCATGAAAGGCCAGATCAGAAGGACACACTTCCTTTGCCTTCTCCTTTTCTCACTTCTACTCTGATCTTCTCTTCATCTTTCCTATCACTCCAACACCCATGACGACCGGAAGAATCTTGGAGCTTGGAGCCTTGTTCTCCCATCCTGCTCCATCCAGTCATGGCCACTCTAGATAGGATGAACAATGACATGACTGTGTATTTTCCAACCTTTAGGGGAGCTGCCTGGGCCATGTCTGTCATGCCAGTGAAACACAGTTTTCCACCAACCATACTTCAGTTGATGGAAGAACAAAATCATTGAGTCATAAAACTCATCTGGATTTCAAATCCGTCTTTGAGATAATATAAACTGTTGTTCTTGGATGCACCCCAGGGACCACTGCTTAATTTCTCAGATCATTTTCCCCTCTTAGGTTGTGTATATACCAGTGACTCTATAGTTCCCTTATGAAACTGTGCATTTTTTAATACTGCAAAGGCAGAAAAAAATCACTTTTTTGGTAAATATTCTTTCAGTAGAATTGCAATCAATGTAGTCAGAGCTAACAAGCAGATGGATGTATTTGAATGCCATTATCTTGTGTACAATGATATTATCTGTTTCATGAAAAATTCAGTAGTTTGGGCTGCTTTAGTGAAGGGAAGATGGAAGTAAAAAAATAGCAAGAAAAACATGATCAGACTCAGAATCCCTGAGGGGGTCCCATTGCATCATTTAGCAGGAGAATGAGCAATGCAGGAGGAGCAGTGATGGCGGAGTTGCTGTCTGTGCTCCTTATGGCATTCTTGGCTTCAGGTCCCACTCAAGCCCCACAGCTGTAGGTGGGAGCTCCTGGGCCTGCTAAAGCATCACACCGTGACATTTTTATCATCCGTCTAAGAGAAGAAAATAAATTTGCTAACAGAATAGAGCTGGCAGGCTCATACTACCTTGTCATATTCCAGACATCTCCTGGTCTGGCCTGAGCCAGAGGAAAGTAAAGTGTGGGCCAGAAAGTGTATGATGGACACAGAGTAGACTTAACTAGTTGAGAGAAGAATGTGGGTTTTCTGAGAAAGGAATATGAGTGTCTTTTGTTGGAGATTTGAGAAATGAAAACACTTGAGCTGCAGGGAGGCTGTGACCTTAGTTTTGTTCTCTATAGGCAAGGATATATTGACAAAAACAAAATGGAGTTGAATACTGTGCTGATTTTTTTTTATATAATATACGTTGTGAGGAAAAAAAATTTCTATTGCCTGATGATTGAAATACAAACTCCTTGTGGACCTTATTAAAGGTGACATCTCCCTAGTTCTCCAAATAGGCTTATCTTTTTTCTTTGAATATATTATATACCTTAATCCATGCCTTTAAAAAATTTGGCTTGAAAAATCCTGTCCCAATATCCCAGGATCTGGGCCCTTTGATATCCTGTCCTTCTATAAAACCATATTGCAAGTTTCATTATTTCAGTGAATGTTTCCTGGGTGATTATTTTTCTTTCTGCATGTCTATTACATATAGTTTATGTTGTGTATTTCTTACAGAGCAGGCACCATCTCATATTGCTTATGACACTTTGTGTCCCAAATCGGGCTATGAGTCACTTGAGGTTAATCTTAGTGACTGCAGTATATAATAAAATGCCTCAAACATATAAGACACCTAGAAAGTGCAACTTATTGATAATACAGATGAATAATGGCATAATTCATGTTTCTGTAATTAAATTCTGTGAATGATGACATGGATATTTGCAGGGAATGCAAAGTATTAATATCACAAGATTTCTTATAAAAATGTCCTCTTTATCTTAATATGAAGAACTTTAAAAAAAACTTGCTTTTGTTTTTCTCCCTGGGATACTACAATTAAGAAAGATTGTTATGTGTATTAGGTTTTTCTAGGAAAAATAATACATGACTAACAGTTCAATGCAGGTACCCTCAGGAAATTTTAAGAGAAGCACAGAGCAAAAATATATACCATACACAGATAAACACATACATAGCATAAATATAACATAGACTGTAAGTAATAATACATATTTCTATTACAGTGATACTAGGCACATTGTATGAATATTTGCTCTGGAGGAAAAATTACTGCACTGATTGTTGAAGCCCTATTCAAGTATGAGCATGGGCAGGAGGAAAATTCATGATCTTTTCCAGTGGGCAGATATTTCCAATACCTGGATTCCACAGTCTTAATCTTCTCCTTGACCCTTTCTATGTACACCTTTTCTTGTGTCTTTTCTTTTTCCATTCCAATTTTGAGATTTTTCTCACCTTAATCCATCTCATTCTAACTTCCATCTTTTCTTCATTTTCTGTTCCTCTCTTATCTCTTAAAGAGTAATGAGTGTAAAATTTCATTGGACATAATTATTTAATAGTTTTATTAAAATGATAAGTAATTTTAAAATCATCCTGCTGATATTACATCCTTTCCTTTTTAACTGCTACGTTAAAATGACAGTGTCTTTATGTCTCTACATATTTCATTAGCAATGAAATTAACATGAATTTCATTCTAATCTTAATAGCTTGAGTAAAGTATATTTTAATTTTTTTACCTGTAAGTGATGCAACAGGAGAAGTGATGAAACAAAAGATTTTTCTTTATTATAAAAAAATGGTCATTTTTATTAAAATCTCTCTCAGCTATGTGGTAAAAATGAGACTGGAAGTTAGATATTTTATAGCTATGTCTTTTACAGTTTGCAGATAAATGAGTGTACTGTATTTAAACTCATGTAAAAATTGAGTAGAAATGATCTGAAAAGCACAGTAGCTAAAAACAGGGATTTTTTTGTTTTGTTTTTGTTTTGTAGGATGCCAACTGTGTATGGTACTTACGCAAAATTCTAGCGAACGGAAAGAACCAGAAAATAAATATTAATAAATCACATTAAACTATATAAGTCAATGGACTCTTTTATAAAGAAAGCACATTTGTTACACTTATTGATTACAGATAACTTGAATATAGTAACAGAGATATACATGAGCAGATCTGACAAATAAGGTATTTAATGTTCCTTTTCTGATTTCCTGACTTGTAAATATGTTAAGAACTGTGTCTTTAAATATGGCCTGGTGTATTAGATAGGATATAGAATATAAATTTCTTAAAATGTTCTTGACCAAAGATGAAAAAATTTCCAGATTTAATGAGATTTATGTTAAGAACACTGGCCAGTTGTTGCAATGACAATAAATGACACCTGAGTATAAGGTCACCAAAAATATGTCATCATATTTCTTGAGGCAAATTTTAAAGAAATATGCTCTTGTGGTTAGTATGACTGTTGGTGAGACTAAGACTGTCATTGTTCTGGCTGAGTAGGCAAAGTCTGTGTTACGTGTTTTGTTGTATCCAAGGTTCCCAATACAGTGGAGGGCTTTGCTAAATAGCCTTTTCAGGGGATGTGGACTTTAAAAATAAAGGTGAACTGTTTGTTCCTTTCCTGTGAAGTATCAGCTGCACTCTAAAATAATGTAGAGTATCTTTAGATCTTGAACCAAGCCCATTATGTATATTATTTTAAATTCTCTTTCACTATATAATAAATTGAGGAGACTATATTGACACTAACTTGCCATTCATTTAGCTCTCAAAAATGACAGCTTTCACTCCAAAGACTTGTAAGCAGTGTTATTCTGCCTGTCCCATCATTACAAACAAATTAAAATTCAAGATCGAAATATTGTTATCAGTTGAGAAAGCTGCCAGCTCTTTAAGAAGAGCCTATCTTTCATGATAAGGACAGACTAGTACCCTTTGGAGCAAAAAACTGCAGCTATACATTCCTTATTTTGTATGATTTCACTGTTTTCCAGAGGCTCAAGGAAGGTTAGAAATGAAGTTATGGGATTAAAAAAATATTTAATCTAAGTTGTAAAGGAGCTTGGAACCATAACACAAGCATCATAATTAACTTTAATAATTATAAATGTAAATGCAGACAAGCCACAAGGTTTTAATGGTGTGCCACATGCTTCTGCTAATTATTTTAGAGTTTGGACACATTCAGTGCCAGCTAATTATAAACCCTGCTATGGAAATCATCTGTTTATATTAGACTTATTGATCTCTAGTGTTTAAGCAATATGAAAAGGGAAATCTACAATGCTGGACCATCTGCTTTGTATTCCTCATTGCTTTTAAGGAATCAAATATATAAATAGTCAGCTTTTTATATATTGGGCTTCTAACTCTTTCAAGAGACATATAGTACAAACCCAAGTGAATTTTAAAAGCCTATTTGAAATGTTGCTTCCCTGGCTTGTCTCAAATACCCTTCACCCCTTGCCCACATCATATTTTCCTTTGACCTTTCTGCAGATCTCCAAAGCACCTTCTTTTCCCCCAGATCTCACAAACTGGTCAAGGTAACTGAGACTTGAGTTGCTTACCATCTTCTAATTACACCTTTTCTTTTACTTTCTATAAACAAGTCATTTTCCCACCCCCCATTCCCTTATAACCATGAATATTACATCATGAGTGCAGAAGAGGATGGCAAGGAAAGAAATGTCCAGGTGAATGTTTTTCTCTTCTGGGAAATATTTCACTTTAGGACAAATTAAATTTCCTGGTGTGTAGAGTGGATGCCCAGTGGGACCAGAGCAGTGTTACTTCTCAACCCTAACAGGCCTGGCAGGAAAGTCTGCTCTTAGGGTACATCTTGTGATTCTACATGGAGGTTGAGATTAAATGAAGAAAGAGTTGACTTCTTAGAATAAAGTTGTTCACTTCATCCATCACTGCCTACATAGCTATTATTTAAGAGTGTTCAACTCATTGGCCGAAAATATCCACACCCTGGAAAAACTTGCCTGCTTGCTTGCTTTCTCTCTTTCTTTTTCTTTCTTCCTTCCTTCCTTCCTTCCTTCCTTCCTTCCTTCCTTCCTTCCTTCCTTCCTTCCTTCCTTCCTTTCTTTCTTTCTTTCTTTCTTTCTTTCTTTCTCTTTCTTTCTTCTTTCTTTTTTTCTTTCTTTTTTCTTTCTCTTTCTCTCTCTCTTTCTCTCTTTCTCTCTCTCTCTCTTTCTCTCTTTCTTTCTTTTTCTTTTCTTTCTTTTCATGGAGTCTCACTCTGTCACCCAGGTGTTGCATAATGCTCTAAATAAAAGAAGATTTAATTAAAAATGTATCTGCTACCATCACTAATATGCAGTCATGTGTCTTGGGCAATACTTAGGTGGCAAACTCCTCACCCCAGTGTTTGTTAAAATAGCTAGTTGTGTTAGAATGGTTGTGACTTTTCTGCAAAGAATTATCTGTTAGAAATCTGCTCCTCTGAAGTATTTTATCTACCCCTCCGTAAAGGCTATACTCATTCTGTTTTTTTCTAAAGTTTTGAATGGAAGTTCTATTACCTACCACTTAGCCTGGTACTGTTGACTACAAGATATCTGAGTTTTAATCTTGGCACATATATAATTGTAAGGCAGGCCTTCTGTATAGTCTAAGTTCATTTTAATCAGAGTTACAGGTTCCATTCAGTTCCTCGGTGAAAAAGAGAATAGTCAAAGTCAGAAAGGAATTAGGAGCTTTTTAAAAAGGTGCTTTAAACAGCTCATGTTCCCCAAGCCCTCAAAGAAAGTTACAAATCAAGAGAGCACAATTGGCAGCTACATTATCAAAGACCTTCTGATAATGCTACCATTAACATTGAATAATATTGTTTAATGGGCTTTTTAAAAGCAGCCATCCTTTGGATCTGACACTTCAGCATGATTATTTTCCATTCCCATTTAAAGCTACAACAATCCCGTGATAATTATAACATCCGTTTCCATCTGGAGTTCAGGGGACTCATACATGTGAATATGGAGAGACAGTTGAGCATCTTTGGTTTAGAAAGTGGACATTAATTTGAAATTTGTAACAACTGCCATTTTTATTTTAGTTTAAATAGCCTATCTGAAATATCCTCCCACCAGGTCTTTTTTGCCACCAGCAGGTTGTGGCAGTTTTCTACGTAAATTGGCCTCATGATTGTGCTTTTATGGACACTAAAAATATAAGAGTAGAAAAATCATTATCACTCACATTTTCTTTCCTGTAAACTGAGATAATTTCAAAGACACTATTTGGTCATTTCCTATGAATTGTCATTTAACAAAAATCCAAATATCTTGGCATTAAATTCATTCATTTCCTAATATCTCTCAATTTGTTTCTAAGAAGCAAGCATTCTCATTACTAGTTGCATTTTTTACAAAAACAACAACCACAAAAAAACAGGGCCAATGACAGTGCTTGATGCATAGTAGTGCTTCGAAATTTTTCAAATATTGTTGAATGGATGGTTTTACAAATATTTAAACACTCCATTAGGATTTTTATTTAAGTGAAGTTTTTATGAAATTTTTATTAGGTGAAGAATTACTAGGTTAAGCCATATGAAACTGCGTTTTTGTAGGTAAAGAAATCAAGTATCGACAATTTCGTATGTTCAGTTTAATACATTCGAAGACAATAGCTTTCTCTCTGATGTATCTTCTTGGTAGATAAGAATGTTTTTGTTTTTTTAAAATGGAATTAAATCATTTTTCTACCTTAACTATAGTAACGCAATGAAGAAAGCCAAAAATGGTGGGATCGGTCTAACTGAAGTAAAATATGACTTTTATTGACGAACTGTGTCTATTTTATCAGCTACAAAGGGTGGAAAATTTACATGCGCTAAAACAAGTTTTTTGATTTGACAATTATTAATCTAATTACAGACTCTGTTACATACTTTAGCTGAGGATTTGATATCAAAGTCACGTTTCTTTCTGGTAAGACCTTTCACCGACTTGCATTTTCTTCCATTGGGAAACCCCATCTCAAGAGTTGGGTTGAATTGTGTCTGTTCAGCCAGTCAAATCTAAATCCTATAGAATTGTCTAGCTGTATATCTTCGATATTTTTGGCAGTCCTCTTCTTAAGTTTATAGAAAAATTAGCATATTAATGGTGAGATTTATAACCTTTGCTTGATATCAGAAATTTAGACTGGAGGGATATACTGTGATGAAGTGATCTGCAGTAATGATTTAAAGTTCTCGTGTGTTGTTCCTGAATGTTATAACTAGCAATGGGTGCACTGATTCCTATAAGACATTTTAGAAATGTGCTTTCAATTGTGTTACATACTTTCTACCTTGACTTCAAGATGGACTGGTCGTGCTTAGGAATTCTTGGGGATTTATATTTATTAGCTTAATAAGATATACTATCCCATGAACCCACACTTTCAAACTAATATGGCTACCACTTTCTCACACATTCTTCATTTTGAATAAAACCTGACTACTAGTCACCTGAAGGAGGCTAAATATTATCAGAGTAGTAAATTTGAAATTCATTTCACACTCTTATTTTTTTCTTTATAAATCACATATACTGATTGTCTTTTATTTTTCATTTATATAGCTAAATATTTTAAACTTTTAACTGATTAGCATTAATAATGTTACTAATTTCATTTTTTTATAGTGAAAACCATTGGGGGAAAATGGAAACTCAGTAAATTTCCTTCAATGAGGGCTGACTTTCCTTAGTGTGAGAATGAGAATCCAATCAGCCCTTTGTGAGGCTGTGATGTCCTCTAAATATACAAAACATAGGATGAGATAATTGAATTTGGTCTCTGGGGTTCCAAGAATAGCACAACCTGGGAATGCTGGTGTCCTCAAAAGAGCAGGACAAAATTGCCACTCATATAATTCATATAATCCTCATTTTCAAACTCGATTCAAACTTTTGCACTAGAATCCCACGAACAGCGTTCTTTAGGTAGTGAGAACACATACACCTCCTTCCTTTTTTTTTTTTTTTTAAAAGAAGGTACGATAAAGAAGGGATGGTTGTGCCATTTTACATTATTTCCTTTATATTACAGTGGGAGCTCCCAAACTAAATTTTGAGTTTCAGGCAAACACATTGTGAAATAGCCAAGATATTAAACTCCCCTAAGTTAAGAGGATCTTGGAGTGACCTCCAACTGTAGTGTGGCTTCTGAGAAGCTGTAATTAGGGTTCATGAGATGAAATCATGCAATTCTGGTTAGCGTTTGACTCATCGCAGAAGTCTTATTGCGGGGAACAAATGGGAATATTTTAGAGTCGTAAAGTGAATGATAGAAACTAAACTTTTATCTTCTTTGATTACATGGTAGAAAGGGTTAAAATTCTCTATGTAGATCACTGAAGTTTTATTATATAAGATGACCTTAGGAACTGTCATCTCCCTTGAATTTATACAAAGAATTCAAAGTAAAGGTTTTCTAGGTTACACTTCTTTTTTCAACCCTTTGTCCTGTCAGCTCAGTCCTTGATATCTTCATCTGCCGACATGCCCAGATGTGCAGTGAATGTTGATTTGAGCTGGCCCCTCAACCCCTCCCTGCTGGTGTCATTAAAACCAGGGAGGCAGCGGCTCCCCTGGCATCTTTGGCACGGCTTGGCTTTACACTGCGGACTAAATTATTGATGAAGAGCACTTCTGTCGCAGTGTGTTTTACCCACCTTTAAATGAAACAGTGTGGATTGAGCTGTCACTGCCTCCTCACTCCCTGCAACTTCTACATGACATTTATGATGTGGTTCAGATTGCACCGAAGCAATTAATTTCCAGTAGAGTCTGCACTCAGAATGAAGATCCCTGACAATTACTGAGGGCTGGTTTCTCAATGAGCACACGACACACTCATCAATACCGTACACAAAAGGAAAACATCAAAATATATGTAAAGACGTCTCTGGGATTTGTGATCCTTTTCTCCTCTTCAAATCTACTTCTGGGTACTGACTTTGTGTCTGTATTGTGCATTTGGTTCACCTCTGTCTTTTTCTGAAAAGATGGGCGGACTTACCTTCCCAGCACGTATTTTAGATATGCCTGCCAAAATTGTTTAAAAATTGTATTGGCTACTCTGTATGGTTATTCTATTTGAAGCTTTTGTCTGTTTTTACTGATAAGGTATTCTTTGATATTTGCATTTAGTTTCTCAAGTGATTCTGTGACCCTCACTTATTTTTCAGTTCATCCAATGAATGAAATAAGCAGCATATATATACATATGTGTCTCTGGGTAGATGTATACTTGAGTATGTGTACATATGCATGTGTATATACATATGTGAACATATTTTTAAAAGAACACAATAAATATTTCCAAACATATGCAATTTAATATTTGATCAATTATAATAATTTTTTGCCTATTTCTTTTAAAAAATTGTAAAATATTCAGATTAACTTGGAGAAGAGTGATCTTCATTATATAACATTTTAAAAGACATAAATTTTAGTATTTTGAGAATGAGATGATGTCAACCTAGGCTATTCAGATCATTTTAAAAGTTCTTCAAAATATTTTGTTGAATAGATTTAAAAATATTTGTAATTAGCCTATCTATTCTTCTGAAGGCTTAAATATAAATTATCTTAAATATTTCCCCTGGATTCCTGTTTGTCATTGTAATTTCTGCAGTTAACTTTTCTTTCATAGGTAGTCTTCTGTTTTGTCCATACTGCCTGATACTCAGCAAAAGTGTCTTCTAAATTAATGAGTTTTTAATTTTCAGTTTTCTCATTTAAATGCCTTGCTCCAGAGCCAGTGGTTAAAATGCACATGTAACTTGGCGTCGTTCTGTGCTGAGGTGCTTCTGGAAAGCAGCAGCATCATTGTCTTTATTACAAAGGCACTACACAGCTAAGCATTAACGAGTGGAGACTTCCAGTGGACTTCAAACAGGATCCAGGAAATAACTTGTGTACCAGGAGATGGCAGTTTGATTAGATATAATGTATCAATCAGTTAATGGAGGAATCTGGATAACCCCAAGAAACATCACCACAACCTTATGAAAATCCAACAGTGGGTTAGGAGGCACTTTATATGGCAGTGTACTTTCTCTTATGCCTCCTGTCCTCAGTACAGCTACACTTCTAACATTTAGTGGCCAAAGGACGGGAGAATACTTGGTGTATTTTCCTATTTCAAATTTGATATTTTTCCAGCCCTGTTGAAATCAAGAAAGATGAAATGTCTCTCCTTAGTAGTCAGAATTTAATCTCATTCTTTTTTATCTTTAAGGCTATTTATTGTAATAAATCATTTTTTCGGTACTTTAAGAGATCAGATGGTTCAGAAAGATAGATTTCAGGGAAAAAAAAATCCCATCTTAGTATTACCTACTCTTGCCTCAAATAATATCTGTATTTCAGAGAGAGAAAGATACAGTCTATTTTGGGCTAAGTTACAAAACAACAACAAGCCCAAAATGATAACCCACACTGGTTTTGATCAAGATATTTTGGACACACTTGTATGTATACTCAAATAAGTCGATTATACTAATTAGTATTATACTAAATAGTATTATGCTAATACTATTTGGGGATATCTTTGAGTAAATTATACCTTATTGACCTAAGAAGTCTATGAGAAGACTCCAAAATTAGAAAAAAATTCTAATTATGATTTATCTAGAAAATGATAATCATGATACCATTTTTGAGCACTTATCCCACTTACTACCCACCAAGCTTTATCTCTTTAATTACAATGACTTTAAAAACAATTTTTGAATTTTTAAAATTTTTTTTAGAGAGATGAGGTCTTGTTATGTTGTCCAAGATGCTCAAGCAATCTTTCCACCTAAGCCTACTAAGTAGCTGGGACTATAGATACATGCCACCATGCCCAGCTCACAGTAACTTTTTGAGACACTTTTATCATACTCATTTAACAGGTGAGGAAAGCAAGGCTTAGAGAGGTTACATGACTTGCCCAAGGCCACAGAGTCACTAGCAGGAAAGTCAGTATTCTATCCTAGGTCTTCCTGATAACAAAGTCTACCGTTTACTGGTTTACTATACTAGATTCTTTGCATTTCTTTTAAGATTCACTTAAACGCCTTATTATGGTGGGTATACCTTACTCTGTTTTATATGGTTCTTCATTTCTAGAGTTATTAATTTTTACTTATGTAGAATAAAAATGGTTAAGCTATTCTAGTCACTAGTTCAATTTTTGACTTTGTAGTTTGAATCCAGGGCCCATTCTTCACCTTTCTCTCTCTCATGTAATACAGATAGTAGAGACTGGTTGCCTACTACCAATGGATACATAAAATCACGACCAATTGACTGTTCTAAAACTGCACAGTTCATGCTTCAAAGTGTTTGTTTATATAGAGAAAGTAAAAGCAAAAAGTTCTAAGCTTCCAAGCTTAGACTATGTATCTAATTATACAAATAATTTATACTAAAATGCCACTATTATTTAATATTCGGACAAAGTCTTTTCCTTTTAGTCTCCATATTGTACCTACATCCCCAGTAAATCATGGATCTTAAGACTTTCATTTCTTCCTATCATTTTAATTCCTTCCACTCATGTTGTGTCTCTGTAATTGGCTTCTTTTGGGCCACTGAGTCAGATAACTGGAAGTCTTCTAAAATGAATTTGACAAAGACTTCGGGCAACCCAGCAAATCATCTTCAAACTGTTGTGTTTCTCATTGCCCCATGGCCATGAAGTTGCGAATAAAATGTTTTCTCATTACATTGGAGTTGTTAATATAAAGAATAAGTAAATAAATTTACTTGTTACAGGCTAAAAATCTGACTATATATTTTAAGAAATTTAACCTTGTGGGGAGGGGACAGGTGGGGAATCTCTCTGATAATGCGATACACTTTAGTGGAGATAGAATCTGAGTTTAGAGACCTGAAGTCCACATCAAAGGTGTTCTATTTACTTGTTCTATAATCCTGAGCAAGTCAATTAGCATCTGAAACTGCTTCAACATCTATAAAACGAGGATAGTTTTGTCTTTTGAGGTTATTAGAATTTTGAAAGGAGGTAATATATGTGGGAAATATTTTCAATGGTAAATTGCTAGGTAGATATTAGACTATTTAAAATGATCAAGGCAAGATAGAATTTATGTATCTACCTTGATATATAAGAACAGAGGTGGCAGCCTAGGGTAGATACAGTGTCTCCACGCTCTGTCCAGGGACCCAGTCTCCTTCTTTCTGCTCTGCCATTTTTAGCTCATGGCTTCGATCCTCAGTGTCATCTTATAGCCTAAAACTGACTGTTAGAGGTCTAGTCATTATATGTACCTTTCAGGCAGATAGTAGGAAGGAAAGGGGAAATGACCAAAAGAGCCAAAAAGGAAGACTAGGGGAAAAAGAATTTTCCTAGAACACCATCCTATGATTGCTGCCTGTAATTTGTTGTGAGGCTGAAGAATGTTTTCTTTTAGCTGGGTACATTACTGGAGTTCTCTTGGTAAATGAGAAGATTATGAATATTGTGTAGACAACCAGTGCCCTATGTCTTGGGATTATGTGTGATTTAGATTTTCTCTGCAGTAGACTATGTGGACTACAGTTCAAGGACTATATTTATTTGATACAATGGTGGTAATTAAAACAAACTGGTGTATAATTTTAGCCTATTAAATCATGTTACCCTAAAGATTTCCAAATTGGATGTTTTTTCAGTTACCATTTGTAAATTTACTAGGAATGCTGTGATAGTTAACATTGAGTGTCAACTTGATTGGATTGAAGGATATGAAGTATTGTTCCTGGGTGTGTCTGTGAAGGTGTTGCCAAAGGAAATTAACATTTGATTCAGTGAACTGGGAGATACAGGTCCATCCTCAATCTGGGTGGGCACCATCTAATCAGCTGCTAGGATAAAAGCAGGCAGAAGATCTTGGAAAGACTAGACTGACGTAGTCTCTGGCCTCCATCTTTCTCCCATGCTGGATGCTTCCTGCCCTTGAGCATCTGACTCCAAGTTCTTCAGCTTTGGGACTCTTGGACCTTTGACCACAGACTGAAGGTTGCACTGTCAGCTTCCCTACTTTTGAGGTTTTGGGACTCAAACTGGCTTCCTTGCTCCTCAGCTTGCAGACGGCCTATTGTGAGACCTTACCTTATGATCATGTGCATCAATACTCCTTAATAAATTCCTCTTTATATATACATCTAGCCTATTAGTTCTGTCCCTCTAGAGAACCCTGACTAATATAAATGCTTTATTTAAAGATTGCATATATATAGTATTATTTTGATCACATTACAGTCATCTTTGAGTTAGGGCAACAAACATGCACTATGAAATAAGATTCACTTCTTTTACAGAAAATGATGCCAATTTTAAAGAATAAATTTTAGCATGGGATATTGGGCAGTTCTAGATTCTTCTAGCATTTAATGAGGCTTAATGATGCTAGTAACTTCACTTGAAGTTTAAATGACTTATTTTTCCAAGTGATTTCAGAAACCCCTAGAAACTCTGCTAAATGAAATGAATCAATAGAGTTAAATGAGTTAGTTAATACATGTGAAACACTTAGAACAATGTTAAGCATAAAATTAACTTCTCCATAGCTATAGCTTTGTGCTGCATTAGTATTAGTGTTAAAATGGCTTTCATTAATAAATATAATAATGCTTTTTAAAGGCAGAGGGTTAAAAATGATGAAGGAAATACTATCCTTCTTCCACATCTTATATAATAGAAAATATTAATTGATCTATACCTTATTTGATAAAAAAGTTTCAAAAAGATAATGTTCAATACATTTCCCTCTGTTTCATTCTCCAAGTTTCAAAAATTAATATGCTTACTACACAGACATAATTATTTGACATGTGAAGTATAATTTTCCTTGTAGCATGTGCAATGGATATTTATCATGGTTTTTGCTTGTCCAACATGTGAAGCCTGGATAGGGTGAATGTCTCCTTTGCCTGCGTCTTGGCAGACAACACTTTTCACTAAATACAATGTTAGGTTAAGTGTCTCCCAGTTCTCAGTGAGTGAAGCTGTAGACATCTGAAGTACTATCATTGGATACTTCAGCCTGGGATTTTGAATCTGCGTGATGATACAAAGATGTTGGGCCTGTTGAGGGACTAATCATGGAGTTGAAGTAGAGTGAAAATGGGGCTATCCCAATGGCATGATAATGGTGGTGGTCTCTGCGCTTCCCACACATACTCTGTACGTTCCTGTGTACTTTGCTGGCTGTTTGTCCAGTAGGTCCATCAATTTTGTGTGCCTCCACATATCCTTCCAATAAATCCATTTTCTGTTTTAAGTTAGGCAAATCTGGCTTCTGTTACTTGTAATAAGAACTTTGATTAGCTCAATGTGAACCAAAAAATTGAGAAAAAGAAATATTAGAAATATATGAAACATGAGAAATGAGAACCACTTCTTGGGTAGACATTGTCATTTAGTGAAATTATAATTCATTTCATTATAATTCAGAGAAATGTTAGAAGTCATAACATTATGCATACTTTCCTGTATTTTTTCTTGTTACAATTTTAGCAAAAATGGAACCCACAGTTTGGAAGTCGCTTTTCATTAAATTGCTTGGCATATTGAAGTGGCCATTTTTCTTGGGTATTCAAGCAAACCCAAGGAATCTATGCTTATTTGTTTTATGAATACTAGTGAAAAAAGTGACAAATATTTCCTCTTGGTTATACTGGTAATATGGCTAATGTTCATAACATGGTTATCCGTTTTTCAATGAGAAAGAGAAATGAGCTTCGGGTCTGAATGTTAAACCTAATGACAGAGTTTTCTGGTCAAGGCAAGTGCTCCCTTTGTAATCACTTTTGCTGGCTTTCCATAAAATACTAGGGAGATTGCTATGGTACTGATATGGTTTGGCTGTGTCCCCGCCCAAATCTCATCTTGAATTGTAGTTCCCATAATTCCCACGTGTTGTGGGAGGGGACCAGTGGGAAGTAATTGAATCATGGGGACAGTTTCTCCTATACTGTTCTCAGGGTAGTGAATAAGTCTCATGAGGTCTGATGGTTTTGGAAGGCATTTCCCTTCTCGCTTGGCTCTCACTCTCTCGTTTTGCCTGCCCTTTAAGACACACCTTTGTTCTTCCCTCACCTTCCGCCATGTTTATGAGACCTCCCCAGCCCATGGAACTGTGAGTCCATTAAACCTCTTTTTCTTTATAAATTACCCAGTCTCGTGTATGTCTTTATCAGCAGTGAGAATGAACTATTACAGGAACTCAGTAATGTCTGAGAGACAGATTGAACCAAATACCCAAAGAAATCAGAGGATTGTTCATTTGCTCCTAAGAAGTATAAACAATGTTTGGAAGCATGTAGGTAATACTACTATACTAACAAATGTTTAGGGAAAATTTCTCATTTGATCCAAATTAGTCTATTTAGGACAATTTGTGTTATACTACCCTTCCAGACTGTACCTCTTGATGTGTAGGAAGATGTAAAGAAGTATGTGTGAAATATTACCTGTGAAGGAAGCAATGTGTTTCCATAGACCTCTATTTTCTCTGAGTAAGCAACCACTAGGGAGAGATAAGGGTCATGTGTCATATACACAGAGCCAAAGTACAGAAGATTTATGACTTAGTGAATATGTAGATATTGTAGTGTTCTTGACCAAGCTGGCAAACTGTCCTTGAGTACATCTGAGGTTTCATGTTAAAAACAAAACAACAAAACAAAATAAAACAAAACAAAACTTCAAAAAGAGAGACAGACATATACATGCTGTCTCTGAACACAGGGATAGTCTCTGAATTCACAAAAATAATGACGGCTCATCCTGTTCTCTTGGGAGAGTGGGGTGGGAATTTCCATATTTTGCTTTCGAGGCACTTTCAGAGCCATGTACTGCCATAATTCATATATCATTGGATTAAGAGGCATATGACTCTAGTATCAGTAAGAGCCTGTGTAGTAGATTTGCTGATTTAAGGAAAAGGAAAAGAAAGAACTTAGGGCCTCATTTGAGACAAGTCTTTGTACTTCAAAGAGCAGAATGACAGGACAGAGCATCTATTTGCTGCATCTTTTACCAAGGAGAGAAATAATATATCTCACACTGATTAACCAACTTGTGCTTGTTAAAATTTTAACTTTCGTTATGCCTTTACGCTGTTGTCAGGTTCTCTCTGATAAGGAATATTTTAAAGATGTTTTGGCATTTCTTAGAAAGATGATTGATCCTGAAGAGTAAGAGCTGATAGCCAGAAGAATATTTTGTTGAGGAATGGATACTGCAAAATGTCCTGGCAAGAGTTACTCATTTTCTTTACAAAAGCTGACCACACTTAGCCATTGGTACCTACTATGCAGCAGTTTTATTTCCCAGCACTGGCATTCTACTAGTTATGATGTCTGTAGTATAATACTTATATAGCAATATTTTCCCTCTCTTGCTTCTCATGATCTTTGGACAAAGCTCATATTCCAAAATGTTCTGTTGATTTTATCCTTTGGAGATTCTTGAACCTTGTAGCTCATGACATCCACTTAGGCCATTATATAGCTATGGGGTTCAAAGAGAATTTTCTGAAGTATGAATTGACTTCCAAAATATTCTGCACTATCCTTATATTGCTATTCTTGGAGACTGTCCATTTTTCAAAATATAAGAATTTTTGGCAGCATAGGTAACAAAGCTACATACCTTTGGAGTAATTCCCAGCTCTCCCTCGTCACCCTCACATCCAAGTTATTTGCTTTATCCTTTTGATTTTACCTTCTAATGCCTCAAGCATCCCACCAATGCTTTCCATTTGGACATTGTTTCCACTTATATTTCCACTACTGGTCTGGAGTACCACAATAGGCTCCTAATTGAGTTCTCCATTTTTTCTTACTGATTCTAAAGCATATTACTGCTAGATTAAGCTTCTTAAAACATAGATCTGAATTTATTGACTCATTGATTAAAACTTCATTTATTACTGTCCCAGATGTTTCAGGAGTATTCCTAACTCTTGCCTCATGCCCCTCCCCTTGAATTTAATTAAGATATTTGCTTTTCTCTGAATATTTCCGGTAATCTCCTGACTCCATGCCTGTATTCGTGTCTTTGCCTCAAAACTAGAGTGTTCTTTATCTTTATTGTTTCTCTTAAAAGTCCTGTCCAATTGCCAATTCCATGTAAATTGTAAGCTCTTTCATGAAGACATCTTGATGACCATACCTGAATGCCACTTGTTCCTTCTTGTTTGAATCCCCTTTGATTTGTTAGTAGCGATCCTATGCCATCTACTCTGTCATAGAGAAATTTGTGTAATTGTCACTCTGCTTTCTCTATTATGAGTTCTTCAAAGGCAGGAACTCTTTGTTCTTGTATTTTTCTCCTATATTTTCTAACCATGCATTTAATATTGTAGAAGCTTATTCATTATATAGAATTTTTGATAATCTAGGGTAAAAAAGAACATCCTTTTAAAGTCAGCTGACCTAATATTAACACAAAACTCTATGACTGCTTTATTTTATGAGAATAAGTTTTCCACGAAGTCCGTAAAGCAAAGGTATACAAAATGAAAAAATATTTTAAACAACAGAGACTACGTAGATTCAGTTTATTTAACCCTGCATATACCTACCTATATTTTAGATTCTATTTATTTATGATGCACAAAGAAGCACATGTCATTGTCCTTATAATAATTTTTATCATTTTGATCTCAGAGGCTTTGTTATGGAACTTTGTAAAGTGAGAAACATTTTCTCACGTATTACCCACATTTTCCTCCTGTCTTATGGAAGAAGAATCGTTCCTGTGTCTTTCCACAATTAATGCCACCATCTCTGTTTTCTTAAAAACTATTTTTTTCTGTCTTTTCTGAGATTTAGTACCATAAAGTCTTTCTTCTCTCATGTCTTTAAATTCTTTTCCTTACTGCTTCCTTGTAGTCTAAAAATGTGCTCAAGTCTTTACATACTTTAATCACAGTTTTCTTTAGCTACTATTAATATTTTCCTTTTTTTTTTCCAGCACCACCAAACTTTTCGAAAACAGAATCTATCCTGAAGGCCTCAATTTCTCCACTCCCCATTCGTTCAATGTAGTTGAGTTCTAAGTTATCCCTCCACTGACACTGCTTTTAGAAAAAAATCTCACTTTTTTTTTTTTTTAAGATCTAGGCACCTCTTTTCAGTTCCAACCCAAATACTTTGTGTTATTTTGAGAAAGTCAGCAACGTCCTTCTTGAAACTCTTTTCTGCAATACTACTTTTGTGTGATCCTTCTCTTTCCTTCTTTTTCTTTCCAACTAGTACTTACATAATACTGCCTAAATACATTGTGCTTGACATAATGAAGATAAAAAGATATATACTATCCTTGTGTTAAAACTTAGTCTCAATGGATAGACAACATATATATTATGCATAAAAAGTTATATAATGAAATTTAAGAGTTAAAATAATCCCCATTTCAAATGAATTTCATATTTGGGCTACTATATAAGCATTTTAACTGGTATTACTTTATTCAGAATCACTTAACTTTCATACTTCTTATAATTTTTTCAAAATTTAACTTTAAGTTCAAGATACAGGTACAGGTTTGTTATATAGGTAAACTTTTGTCATGTGGGTTCATTGTATAGATTATTTCATCACCCAGGTATTAAGCCTAGTATCCATTAGTTATTTCTTCCAGATCCTCTCTCTCCTCCCACCCTCCACTGTCCAATCAGCCTCATTGTGTGTTGTTCCCCTCTATGTGTCCATGTGTTCTCATCATTTAGCTGCCACTTATAAGAATATGTGGTATTTGGTTTTCTGTTCCCGCATTAGTTTGCTAAGGATAATGGTTTCCAGCTCCATTTGTCTTCCTGCAAAGGACATGATCTTGTTAGTTTTTATGGCTGCATAGTATTCCATAGTGTATATGTACCACATTTTCTTTATCCAGTCTACCACTGATGGACATTTAGATTGATTCCATGTCTTTGCTATTAAGAATAGTGTTGGAATGAATATATGTGTGCATATGTCTAATAGAATGATTTATCTTCCTTTGGGTATATACCCAGTAATGAGATTGCTGGGTTGAATGGTATTTCTGTTTTTTGGTCTTTGAGGAATCACCATGGTGTCATTCTTCGCAGAACTAGAAAAAAACTATTTTAAAATTCATATGGAACCAAAAGAGAGCCTGAATAGCTAACACACTCCTAAACAAAACAAAGCTGGAGGCATCACACTACCCAACTTCAAACTATACTACAGGGTTATAGTAACCAAAACAGCATAGCACTAGTACAAAGACAGACATACAGACCAATGGGACATAATAGAGAACCCAGAAATAAGGCTGCACACCTACAAGTATTTTTGACAAATCTGACAAAGACAAGCAATGGAAAAAGGATTCCCTACTTCATAAATGGTGCTTGAATAACTGGCTAACCATATGTAGAAGACTGAAACTGGACCCCTTCCTTACACCTTTACAAAACTTACTCAAGATGGATTAAAGACTTAAAACACAAAACTATAAAAACCCTGGAAGACAACCTAGGTAATACTATTCAGGACATAGGAACAGGCAAAGATTTCATGACAAAGACACCAAAAGCAATTGCAACAAAACAAAAATTGACAAATGGGATCTAATTAAACTTAAGAGCTTCTAAACAGCAAATGAAACTATCAATAAACAGACAACCTATAAAATAAGAGAAAAAAATTTTAAACTATGTATATGACAATGATCTAATATCTAGCATCTATAAGGAACTTAAACAAATTTACAAGTAAAAACCAAACAATTCTATTAAAAAGTGGGCAAACGACAGGAACAGATACTTTTAAAAAGAAGACATGCATGTGGACAGAAATCATATGAAGAAAAAAGGTCAGTATCACTGATCATTAGAGAAATGCAAATCAAAACCCCAATGAGATACCACCTCACACCAATCAGAATGGCTATTATTAAAAAGTAAAAACGTAACAGATGTTGGCAAGGTTGCAGAGGAAAAGGAACACCTACATACTGTTGTTGGGAGTATAAATTAATTCAACCACCATGGAAGTTGGTACTTTTTAATAAAATGAGTTAAATTTTTCTAAAATATTCACTGTGAATGTGGTGTTCATATATATATATATATAGAGAGAGAGAGAGAGAGAGAGAGAGAGAGAGAGTGAGAGAGAGAGAGAGAGAGACGGAGTCTTGCTCTGTCACCCAGGCTGGAGTGCTGTGGCGTGACCTCAGCTCACTGCAACCTCTGCCTCCTGGGTTCAAGCAATTCTTCTGTCTCAGCCTCCTGAGTAGCTGGGATTACAGGTGCGCACCACCACACTTGGCTAATTTTTGTATTTTTAGTAGAGATGGGGTTTCTCCATGTTGGCCAGGCTGGTCTCAAACTCCTGACCTCAGGTGATCTGCCCACTTCGGCCTCCCAAAGTACTGGGATTACAGGCATGAGCCGCCGTGCCTGGCCTCATGTAAATGTTTTCAACATTACTCCAGCTACTCCATAAAATCAACTCTTTGGCAATATCAGAGCTCTCCATATTTGGGTGACATGTCCAGCCAACTTGGACTGCTCATCACTCCCAAATGCCCATGAAACATTTTCCCCCTTGTTTTTTGATCATATTATCATTATTACAGTGGAAGGCAGTCTCTAAGAAGGGCCCAGATGATCCCTACCTCCTGATATTCACATCTATGTGTAATACATAGAATATGGCAGAAATGATGTAATGTCAGTTCTCAGGTCTTTTCGCCTTGAGTGTTCTCTCTCTCTCCCTCACCCAGAGGAAGCCAGCTGCTTTGTCATAAGGCATCCCTGTAGAAAGGCCCACATGACAAGGGACTGAGGCTAGCCAACATGTGAGTTATCCTAGAAGTGGAAGTTTTCAGATGAGACTGTAGCCCCAACCAGCAGCTTGATTGCAATCCCATGAGAGACCTTGAGTCAGATTCCTAATCTACAGAAATTATGACATAATAAATAAAATGTTTGTTGCTTTAAGCTACTAAATTGTTGGATAATGTGTTACACAACAAGAAGTAACTAATGTATCTGCTTAAAATAGCCTTACATTTTTTTTTCTTGAGACAGAGTCTCACTGTGTCATCCAGGCTGGAGTGCAGTGGCACAATATTGGATCACTGCAACCTCCGCCTCCTGGGTTCAAATGATTCTCCTGCCTCAGCCTCCTGAGTAGCTGGCACTACAGGCGTGTGCCAGCACGCCCGGCTAATTTTTTGTATTTTTAGTAGAGATGGGGTTTCACTGTGTTAGCCAGGATGGTCTCGATCTCCTGATCTCATGGTCTGCCCACTTCGGCCTCCCAAAGTGCTGGGATTACAGGCTGATGCCTCTGTGCCCAGCCCGCCTTACGATCTTGTTTAACCATCAGTAATATACCAGTTCTAACACTAACTACTTTCTACCTACTTACTGCTTGCTGAAAATGTTTCCTTCTTCGTCTATATTCCTATAATATTTAGTTGGTGCCCTTCATTGTCATGTGTCACCTGCTTCCTCGTTTATGTCCCCAAGATGATAAATATCTTTAAATAATAGCAACTGGTTCATATATTCCCGTAGCACCTAGAAAACTCCTGATATTCACACCCATGTGACTTGAATGTGTGTGAGTTTAATGTCTATTTGTTGAGTAAGTATAACAAAGCTATGCTTGGTTAATCATCAAAATAAATCTAAAGAACAATAATTATCATAGGACGAGAAATAATTACCTTAATGTTTATGGTAAAATTGTTTTATCAAAAAATGATACGCAGAGAGGAGTGGCAAGGTCATATGGAGTGAATATGACTGAAATTGCAGAGAAACTGAAAAGAACAGAGGATGTTGTGGGACCAGTTAACAACTGGTTGGTAGGCACGAAGAATTTGAATGAATGCATAGCTGAACAGAAGCCCAAGCCAGGTTCTGCTGGGTGTTTTAGTTTTAGATACAATGGTTGGTACTTCTAGGGTCTCCAGGAGGCCTGTACACATGGCAAAATGCTGCTGAACTGCATTTAACATAGCACAGAGTACTTGTTTACTAAATATTTTATTCAACTTGAAAATTTAAGGTGCGAGAGCGATATTCAGGGTATTAGCTGGTAAGTGCTGAACTTTATAAGCAACTTGAAGGCCCTAATGTCATTGAACAAGCATATAGCAAAGTTTAAGTCGTTTAGTTAGAGTATTCTGGTGGTGATGTACAAAATTAGATACAGGGACGCTGTTAAGTGAGAATAATTAGGTAGCAACTAGTTAAGTCATGAACTTATAAGAGACTTTTATGTATTTATATTGGGCATTCTATTTCCACAATCTGAATAACTCTCTTAGTTAATAGACTCTCTTGAAACACACCATTAAAATATACTATTAAAACTTAGTTGATCCTTGTAACTACAACTAAATTCTTTGTATGGGCTTAAGGGAACAGCTGTATTATTTCTATCCTTTTACTTTTAGAAAGGAAATAATAAGTCAGTATATGCTTTTATTGCTGTTTATTTAGAAGTTGTACATACAATGGGAAGTATGTGGAACCAGCTAACACCTGACCCATACTTATGCCATATAATAAACTTTTCAAAAATTCCAAGCACCTTCAAGACTTTTTTTTTTTTTTTTTTTTTTTTTGAGACAGAGTCTCGCTGTGTCGCCCAGGCTGGAGTGCAGTGGCGCAATCTCGGCTCACTGCAAGCTCCGCCTCCCGGGTTCACGCCATTCTCCCGCCTCAGCCTCCTGAGTAGCTGGGATTACAGGCGCCCGACACCCGCACCCGGCTAATTTTTTGTATTTTTAGTAGAGACAGGTTTTCACTGAAGACTTCTTGAAAGCTTACAGGTCATCAGAATGTTATAGAGTGGAGGGATTTTTTAAAAATAACATTTTTGTGGAGATTATACTGGGTTACAAAAGAAGGACTATTCCAGATGGCAATAGTCTGTGACTTCAAAACATTTACTATCTTGTAGGAAAGGATTGGGTATGACCAATTTGATTTATCTACTTTCTGGTCTCAATAATGCATAACATAGGAGATAAAATTAAATTAAATCTATATCAATTCCGGTATTTCACCTATGCTTAAAAAATGAGGACAATGAAAAAGATAAGTCTACAGCTACGAGATTAGTGTTAGGAGTGGATAAAGGAAGACTAGAAAGAAGAAATGAAAGTGAGAAAGAAGTGACTAAAGCGTGGGAGGCAAAAAGAGCAAACACAATGTTGAAGGGTAAGAGTGATTGAGGTCAATGTGGAGTCAAGGGCAATAATCCAAAACGAGCAGGAAATATAACCAGTGAAAAAAATTAGCCAGATGGGAGGAAGAATCAATTGATCTGTGATAAAAGAAGGAAATGAAAGAAGAGAGTGAAAGAAGAAAAGAATACACTTAGGGCTTAAACAGTACTTTTCATTTTCAGAAAGCTTTATAAATATTAACTAATTAACCCTCATTTCAGCCCTGGGCATAAGCAATATTATCATAGTTATTATTATTAATAACTGAATGTAAAAGGGGTCAGAAAGGGTTAGACACATAAAGCTTTAAATCTTGTACATGTATTTTATTTCTCTGACATGAAAGCAGTAGCTGGAAGGAAAGTTTTGTTTCAAATTCTTGTAAATCCATTATTACTGGATGAGAACCGCATTTGTTTTGCTTCTCCCACCTTAATAACCTTAGGCCATAGGATCTGAAGACGTAGTCTGCATCTGACTATCAAGAATTCTTCACCTGCAAATCATCCTTGATGGTAGGACTAAACAGAGAGCGTTAAATTCAGTGTCAGGACTTAAGATTGACAGGATTCGTTGTATTATTTCTAAGAACAACGTGTAACTTCTCCTGATTACTATTCAATTGCAACACAGCAGTAGAAACCAGTTGCACAGTTTATGGTAGCAAATAACACGCATTGTGTTCATTTTGGAGCCTTTCTCTTTTCTTTGATTCCACTGAGGCAGGATGGGAACTCTCCATTCAGTAACAGTTTAGTTCCAGCTTGCTGAACACACTGTTGCTTTCCTGGAGGGAAAAGTATTAGAAAATGGATTGAATACATCTTTAAATGTACATAGTGGAATTCATTTCTTATGCCAGTTAGAACAAGCAAACAGCCACATGCCTGTAATAATGTAAATTTTGCTTTCATTATGACCCTACATCCACAAGCTAATTACACTGCAGATACAAAGGCTGTCGACTTTCCTTCTCTGGAGTGATAAAGGAGCCTGCTGGGTAAAATAGCCACTACTCATGTTATTTCTGGACATATCCAAGCTACTGCAAGATGTTCCTTGCTTTAAAAGTGAATTTTAGCATGAATTCATGCAGTATTTTAAAAAAACCGTGACAGTTATTGTAGGGGGTGCAAATGAAGTATATGTTGGAGTTGAAGGAAGATTGTTTCACTCTCCTTATTCCAGTTTGCCTTTTTTTTTTTCTTTTTAGCAAAACAAATTTTATACAGGTTGATTTTCTTTCCCTTTGGTGCACACTACATGCCACTACGTTTCTTAAATAGGATTCCCTAATCCTTACGAGGGGTTTTTCAAAAACAATCATAATGTAAAATTCACATACATAAAATAATTATGTAATTTATGATGAGCAAGTGGCCGTCTCTTCTCTTTTATGTGAAACAAATCAGACAAATATTTACTGAATTTGAAAAGTAAAGATAAACTATTAATTGATCATTTTGTTTAGGTAAAAATATCTTTGGCTCCTTTCACATATTATTGGGATCTTACAATTCTTTAAGACATGATACAATAATTCTTAAATTTCAAAATAAAAAAACCTTTCAATTCCACTTTCATTATTCTTTTACTTTAAAATAATAAAATGAATATGTCAAGGCTAACAAAATAAAACTTTAATAACATTTTTTTCCAAATTAACACAACTATTCCAGATCTAGTCATTACTTGACATATATACTGAAGCCTGCAAATTTCACCAAGAAATGTGTGTGCTGTAAAGTGACAAAATAATTTGGATTGAAGGACTATAGTTTGCAAATAACTTTTCACAATTTCTTGATATTACTGATACCATAACAAAATCACTGTGATTTTAAAAAGTATTGTTAGTATGCAATAAAATTTCCTAAAATAATTTATTTTGAACAAAAAACGATTTTGGAGGTCCTATTCTATACCTGTTAATTTTTTTAAAACTATAGGGATATATAAGAAGCAAACTTTTGTGAGTCTGTGCCCACGAATAATATGCAGTCTTCGTAAACTGTAAACTAAAATATATGAAATGACTAGAAAACTGCTTGGAATGCCTAGCTACATGACATTACATTGCAGAGCTTGAGAGAAGAGGGGGATCAAGGTGGATTAGTGACATCTCAAAATACATCATGGAGCTACATCTAAAATTATAATCATATGATACTGTAATTAATTGTGGGAATAGTGCCTTTTAGAATAGCACACACACTTAGAACCAGCAGACGAAACTATTTCCAGTGTCATAAACAGTATACTTTCTCTACAAATATTTCTAATTAGGAGAGTAGGACATTTCCTTTAGATTTCTTTTAGTCTACAGGTAAGCAATTTATGTCTTCTGAAATGGACTGATTTTATTTTGCTCAGGGAACTGCTACGGGAGCAATCTCTTAGGTTTTACAAATCACAGAACTTTACATAAAACACTTTAGTCTTTTCTTTTAAACTCATATTTAATGAGATGTGAATTAAAAAGTCTATTTTTGATTAAATCACTACATTTGAGACTCTCTCTCCCCACCAAAAAGGGAAGGGCAGGGTAAGGGATGTTTGTGCCATAATCAATTACGGAGTTCATTATTTTAAAAATATATCTAAAATATTTCATAAAAATTTAAAGAATAATTTTAATATTTATATTTGAATTAGCTTGAAATATATATAATATATATATGCACATTCAAAAGAAGGGACAGATATATCATTAATGATATTTCTCAAATTATATGATTATATGGATGAAATAAAATTAAGGAAGATCATTAATGACCTCTACTTAAAAAAAAAAAAGTAAATGACTGAAAAGTATGCATTTGTTTTCATTTAGGAGGGTACAAGTATATCATGATCCATCATGGAATAGCTAGATGATACATTCTCTCTGTCATTTTTCACAATTCATGAATTGAGCATTAAAGACAAAATATATGGTATATATAATATGGAACAAATAATTTTGCCATATTAGGAGGTGAATTTAGGGGGTTTCTTTAGTTTAGAGTAGCCCTCTCCCCAAAAAGAGAAACTACCACCAAGAAATTTCTAGAATTCAGTCTTCTAAACTGGTATGGTGGATGGAAATATTTTTGTTTCTGGAAAAAATGCATAAGGTGCTATTTCTCCTGGCAAAAATATGAAAACATGAACTGCACGATTTTTTCCCAGCAAGCGACTGATCTCCACATACATCTATCATTATTCAGCTTCAAACTAAAAAGTCTTATTCTGAATACCAATTCCTATAAACTATGTAGCTCTCAATTACGGAATCTGAAACTGCTGGTTCCATGATGATAAAGGAACATGCTGTTTGAAAGACCACAATTTGACTGCAAGTAATCAATATACTATTTGGAAAGAAACCTAGATGTGCAGTTTTATTTAGAAATGCTGAGAGCACTGCACTGAAGCCTTCTCCACAAGTCTGGCAATGTCAGGTGGCTCTTTGTCAGTCTTCTTTATGCCTGTTCATTTTCAGAGGCAGCAGAACATTTTCTCGTTCACTGCCATTAATAGAAGATACCTCTTCTGTAATTTTCAGGGAAGAGGACAATCATTTGTAGCTAAATATATTTTCACTTTTCTTTTATTTTTCGTGAAGCTTCTTTACATTGTATGCCCTGAAATGGAGAGAGTAAAATGAAGAATTTGAACTTCTAGGCCAGAAACATGCAAATGCTTTGGATGAAACTAACATTTGTCAATTTGAGTTTTACAAAATTGGTGTAGCATTTAATTCATTCTTTTAATCAAAGAGAAAATGTCATGTTTACTGAGCACCCAGGTTTGTGGTTGAAACATGATTATGAAATGTGAATCCTTTTAATAGCCCTAGATTGTCCTTCTCTTTATTTTTATATCTGGGAATATGGAAGATCAAAGAGGTTAAGTACTTCAGGTCACACAGGTTAAAACAACCACCAGAGACAGAATTTGAACCTGATTCTCTATCTTCATAAAGCCCATAAAAGGGCCTAGTAACTACTACCAAGGCACCTAAGGTACAGTGCCTAGAATGACCTAAGAATCTATTGTATATTCTATATATGCCCCATTTTCTGAAGCTTGTTAAATTGCCTGAAGGATATTACAATGAGTTTCCTTCATTAGAAATTTCACCAGAATTTTGCCAAAACCACAAAGGCAAGGTGACTTCATGATATATTAGTTAATATAGATTCATATTTGAATGGTTATCTTTTTTTTTTTTTAGATGGAGTTTCACTCTTGTCATCCAGGCTGGAGTACAATGGGTCAATCTTGGCTCACTGCAACTTCTGCCTCCCAGGTTCAAGCGGTTCTCCTGCCTCAGCCTCCCAAGTAGCTGGGACTACAGGCGTCTGCCACCACTCCTGGCTAATTTTTTGTATTTTTAGTAGAGACAGGGTTTCACCATGTTGGCCAGGCTGGTCTCGAACACCTGACCTCAGTTGATCCACCTGCCTCGGCCTCCCAAAGTGCTGGGATTACAGGCGTGAGCCACCGCACCCAGCGAGTGGTTATTTGCTTGTAATGCTTGGCTGATCTGGAAAGAATGCATATTGTGTTGGCTGAAGGGGATAAGATGACAAAAATGGGATAGGGAAAGGGAGCAGCCAGGGAGAATAGAAAAAAGGAAAAGAAGTCTTCCTTGGATGACCTTACAGAGAATTACCCGAACTCCTAAGCCATACGAATGGAGTGAAGGGAATGTTGTATTAAAGAAAAAAAGAAAAAGTTTTATCTGCTTTTCCCTTAATTAAATTAGGGCCATTTGAATAACTACCTGAATAATGGCATCAGGAAGAAAAGAGCAGAAGGCATGAAAGTTTTTTCTGTTTGTTATATTTAGAGAATGTTTTGCAATTCTTTCAGTGTCACGTTAGAAGGCAGCATCATTTGCACAATATGAATTAGCCTCAGAAATTTCTAGGCACATTCACATTTAAAGTAAGATGACTTTATTTTGGTCAGGCTGGTAGAGTCACTGCTTTGTTTTGTGTTTCCTAAACTTTTCCTGACAGCGTGCTAGGTAAGAGTCTTCCCATCCTATTCCCTCTGCTTGTGGGACTTTTATTAAGATGGTGGGACAGCTCAGCCAGGTGCCAGTTTGACGCTGTGTGGCTGTAACTTAATATTCCTCAGTAACTCTGCTTTGGAGTTAGGGGCTATGGGAGGTATTCGTTAATCCTTCACAATTTCTGCCACAGACATTTTTTAACTCTCTTTAGAATGTAAGAGGTATGAGAGGAACTGGTCAGGCCTAAGGCAGCCTGCAGTGTGGTGGGACTCCACCCTTTCCCTTTGCCACGGCTCCATTTACTCCTTTGGAATGTGCCGATAATTCCCACGGAATAGTAATAGGTTTTCAGTGGAATATTTTGTGGAAACGGAACTGTTTTGGTCTGGGGTTCATGTCTTGACGAGGCCAGGAAGACACAGCGGACTGAGGGGCTGAGATGGTCTGTCTCTCGCGGAGTTGGAGTACCCTCTGCTGTTCAAGAGAAGAAGTGCACTTACAGATAGCTCTAGCCAGTGCTTTCTCCAGGTAAAGAAAAACCTCCAAAATGCTTCTTAGAAAACAAGATAGATGCCCTCAGAAGATTGCTGAGCTTCCGGCTTCATGCAATTGTCGGGGTTTTGACTCTTAAGGAAATCCCATTGAGACTGAGTATGCGATGAGACCAGAGCCTATGCGGAGGGTAGTTTTTCTTTAGTCATAAAGTGTGGTATGAGCAATGGTTCTAGAATGATAGGTATTTGGGTTATTTTTCATGTGTTCGAATGCCACCATAAAATATTCTTTTTTTGTGTGTAATCAATCTTTTTATATCTGAGAAACCTGGATATTGTAATTCTAGTTTTGGAGGTTTCTGAATATCTTCTTTTGAAGTGTTTTTACATGTAAAGTCAGCATTGAAAATTGTTCTCGTGGCAAGTAGTTTCTTTCCTTTCTTTCTTTCTTTCTTTCTTTCTTTCTTTCTTTCTTTCTTTCTTTCTTTCTTTCTTTCTTTCCTTCCTTCCTTCCTTCCTTCCTTCTTCCTTCCTTCCTTCCTTCCTTCCTTCCCATTTTTTTGCTTTAGTTTCTAATGTATTTTGTTATTCTCTGCTGTGAGATAGCTTATTTCTATATAGTCCTGTAATTTATAAGCACTTTCACATAATCTCATCATAGCAGCTCTGCGATGCAAACTACATAGTTCCCACTTTATAGACAGAGAATCAAGGCCAAGACCGTGTCCAGAAATGCAGGTGGCCTCAGAAGTGAGCACTGTGTCAGATTTTCTAAGACAGGAGTAATAGTGGTTAATTCTTTAGTGACTACAATTTGTCAGCATTATACTAAACATTTTTAAGCATTACACATTTATTCTTCATGTCAAGTCACAGGTAGGTATTATTCTAACTGTCACTTCATAGATATGCAAATAATAATCTTTAAAGGTTAGTAATAGTCAAATAGCCGGTAAGTGAAAAAACTGGGTTTTAAATGTGGTGCATCTGACTCTGGAGGCTCCAATGTGTGGCCAACTTTTGACATATGGAGAAAAAGACATAAACCTTGACCTCAAGCACTTTAGTATTTTTAAATTGTGGTAAAATATACATAACTTAAAATTTACAATTTTAGCAATTTTTAAGTGTAAAGTTTAGAGGCATTACACACATTGACATTGTTGTGCAAGAATCACCAACATCCATGTCCAAAAATCTTTCATCTTTCCAAGCTGAAACTCTGTACCCATTAAAAAATAACACCCATTCTCCTCTCCCTCCAGCCCTGGCAACTACCGTTGTATTGTCTGTTTCTATGAATTTGACTACTTTAGGTACCTTATATAAGTGGAACCATACAATATTTGTCTTTTTGTGTCTGGATTATTTCATTTAGCATAATGTCTTCAAGGCTCATCCTTATAGCATGTGTCAGAATGTCATTCTTTTTAAGGGTGTATAATACTCCATTGTATCTATATAACACATTTATTTATTCACTGATCCATGGATGTTGGGATGTTTCCAGATTTTCAGTATGATGAATAGTGTTGCTGTGAACACTGATGCACAAATATCTGTTTGCTTCCCTGATTTTAGTTCTTTTGCGTACATACCCAGAAATGAAATAGCTGGATCATATGGTAATTCCATGCTTAGTTTTTTAAACATAGAACTGCCATACTGTTTTCTGTGGTAGTTACAGCATTTCATACTCCCACAAGCAATGCTTAAGGGCAGTAATTTCTCCACATCCTTGCCACTTATTATTTTCTAATTTTTTAAAAAAATAGTCATCTTAATGAATGTGAAGGGATAGCTTACTGTGCTTTTGATGTACATTTCCCTAATGGTTAGTGATATTAAACATCTTTTTATGTTCTTAGTGGCCAACTATATATCTTCTTGTGAGAAAAGTCTATTCAAGTCCTTTAACTGTTTTTAAATTGGGTTGTTGTTGAGTTCTATGAGTTGTTCATATATTCTGGATATTGAACCCTTATTAGAATATGATTTGCAAATATTTTATTCCATATGTTGCCTTTTATACTCTGTTGATAGTAGCTATAGAAAGATAGATGTTGTTAGATGTGCAGAATTTTTAGATTTTGATGAAGTGCAATTTATCTCTGTTTGCTTTTGCTGCCTTTTGGTATCATATCCAAGATCTTTGCCAAATCCAGTGTCATGAAGTTTTTATCTTATGTTTTCTTTTAACAGTTTTATAGTTTTAACTGTTACATCTCTTTACATGTCTTTAATCCATTTTGAATTAATTTTGTATATGGAGTAAGGTACGGGTCCAACCTCATTCTTTTGCATGTGAATATCCAGTTTTCTTAACATCATTTGTCAAAAACAACTATACTTTTCTGATTGAATATCTAGCATTCTTGTCAAAGTCATTTGGTTATATATGCAAGAGTTTATTTCTGGGCTTTCTATACTATTCCATTGATCTATATGTCTGTCTTTTCCTATTACACAGAAATTTTGCTCTTATATAGTGCCAGTTTTTACCAAAATTTGTTCTGATTAGAGTTTTTTCTTGAAGCTCAAACATTCTGTCAGTAATGTAATTAATGAAAAAGAAAAATCAATCTAGTTTTTCCTTGTATTTATGTGTTATGCATATAGGTGATAAACCGAATAACTTAAAGTTTTAATTTACAAATACATAAATTGGTTTGATGTGATATGGAAACAACTGTATTTCTGAAAGTTGTTTTAACCTGTGTATAGAAGGCTAAAATTTTCATCTATTCATTGCATTCATTAGGTCTAACAGCTGAATTCCTCCTAGTCAAGTGGATTTGGGTAATGTAGTTTGTCCTATTTGTTTACCTACTGCTGTAGCTTGGATGTTTGATCCCTCCAAACCTCATGTTGAAATTTGATCCCGTTTTGGAGGCTGGACCTAATGTAAGGTGTTTGGGTGATGGTGGTGGAACCCTCCAGCATAGATTAATGCCTTCCCTCGGGGGTGAGTGACTTCTCACTCTATTAGTTCCTGTGAGAGCTGGTTAAAAAGAACCTGGCACTTCCCCTGCCACTTTCTCTCTTGCTCTGTGGTTTCTGTAGGCACTAGTTTCTTCTTCCAATATAGTGGAAGTAGACTTAGACCCTCACCAGAAGCTGAGCAGACGCTGGCACCATACTTTTTATACAGTCTACAGAACCATAAGCCAATAAACCTCTTTTATCAGTTGACCAGCCTCAGTTATGCCTTTAGAATGACACCAAGTGGACTAAGACACCTATTCATCTAGGTAATAGCCATGGGACAGGTTTACAAAAATAAATTTTTAATACTTAGAAAAATACTTGAAAAGAATAATACCAAAAGTAGACCAATTTTACTTATGACTATAGATGCACAAATATTAAACATAGTATTATCAAATTCTGATTTTTAAAATGAAAACTATACCAAATAAGGTTTAATCTAGAAATTTAAGATTGCAATCTATAACCCTTTTTCATCACACTACATGATCATAAGAAAAAGACTGTGAAAACTTTCTGATAGATGATTTAAAGGCATTTATAAATGTAACATATAGTCATGATTCAAAAATTAAAAAAAAAATAAAAAACAACTTTCAATGCGCTAGAGATGGGGACCCACATTCCAAAAAAGAATATGTGTTTAAAAGCAACCGCCAATGTCTACTGAGTAGAAAAGGCAGAAGGGTATCTCTCATTACTGTCATTATGCATCACAAAGAGAAAATTCTAATCAATACATAATATCAAAATTAATACTAAGTATATTTAAATAAAAGTAAATAACCATAGCATCTGTAAGTAATAATTTTGTTGACTTGGAAACTGAAAGATAATCAACTTACAAACTATTCAAAAATAATATTGAATTAAGGAACATGGCTAGTCATGAATTTAATGTAAAGAATATAAACATATTCTGTAAATACTGAATACTTACTAGGAATGGATAAACATTTTGGTCACAATAGTAATTTCTATTTTCATCCCTTTCTCACTGATTCTTTCACAAACATTAATTTCTTTTTGTATTTACTATTCTATTCTATCATATGACTATATATTTTGGACCAGAACGACACTGCCTTAATTATAACTTTATCATACGTCTTGATATTTGGCAGGTAAAAGTCCCTATTCCCGCATTCACACCACTAAACTAAAGATTTTTTCTGGTATTTTAAGCAAGAGTATTTGGGTTGTTCTTTAAACTGAATTTTAGAGTCACATAGTTCCATTAAAAAAATCCCAATAGGGGGCCGGGGGCAATGGCTCACATCTGTAATCCCAGCATTTTGGGAGGCTAAGGCATGTGGATCATGAGGTCAGGCGTTCAAGACCATCCTGGCTAACACGGCGAAACCCCGTCTCTACTAAAAATACAAAAAATTAGCCGGGCCTGGTGGCAGGTGCCTGTAATCCCAGCTACTTGGGAGGCTGAGGCAGGAGAATCGCTTGAAGCTGGGAGGCGGAGGTTGCAGTGAGCCGAGATCATGCCGCTGCACTCCAGCCTGGGCGACAGTGCGAGACTCTGTCTCAAGAAAACAACAACAAAAATAAATAAAAAGAAAAAACCTATTGGGATTTTTGGTCATAATTCTATACTCACAGCATTTTTGCAGTAGAAGCACTGTAGGCTCAGCTAGTCCAATTTCTCTCATTGTAGACATAAAGAAAAATGCCCTCAGACTCCAGATACTGAATCCTTCAGTGGCGCATAACAGAGTTTACTTCTATGCACATGTTATGTCTTTGCAAGAGACAGATGTGAAAATGGAACTTTTTCTCTAGAAACAGGATAGAAACAGTTGTGATATTCAAGAAGGTTGGATTCAAGAAAGGCAGTCCCCATTTAATGTTCTAAAGAAAGCCCCTTCTGTGGTTTCTAACACTATTCAAATCAGCTGAAGCTTTACATTGTATTTGAATAAAAATGCATGATAATTGAAGGGGTGGGGAAACTGAAATAATGAGTGTGTACAGTAGATCCAGGGTTAGAGGGATTTCCATGAGAAGACTACTGTATTTTTTGGCCCATTCTGAGGTCCTCATAGACTTTTCTTTAGAAGACAAAGCAAGTATGACATTAAAAAAAATCATTTTACACCTGTCACTTTTGGTCCCAAGAAGATCGTTAACAGCATGACAGGGATATTGTAGTACAATAGTCAAGTAACAGTAGTAGTGACAACCGCATTAACTATGATAATATCTTAATTTTACATCATACTTTTCTTACAAAAAGCACTCCTTGGAACTCTCATTTTTAATTACATTTTCTCTCAGATCGTTCTTCTGTGGTGGTCAGAGGCAAATATTGCCTTCTTTTTACAGATGGTAAAACATGAGTTAGTGAGAAATGAAAAAATCTCCACAGGTCTCAGAGGCCACCTGGAGTGGCTTCCATGACTGCTTTTTTTCAGGCAACGTCATCCTTCTAAAATGATTGTAACTACTGGTCCTGTCCTTCCAGCCTCCTTATAATTCAACAAAAACTTGAAGAATGAAGTCCAATTTATTCCCTTATTGGAATATGTGCTAATGAAGGAATGAATACTTTTGCTGGAAAAATGAAGTGTTTGCAAACGTTTTTCTTGCATCTGCTTTTAGAACAATGTTAGGGCCGTGGAGCAGCAAAACTCCACGTGCACCATTTTCATTTTGGTGTACGTAAATACTGCTCTCTGGAGCAAAACTCCTATACGCAAACCTCATCATTTAATTGTTTGGGGCAGGACCCTGGTCATTTTTAAATATTAACACATAATTTTATTCTACTACCAGAGTTGGAAATCACTGTCTTTGTACACTGTGTTGTTTGATAGTGATTTTATTCTAGTTTCGAAGTACTTAGATGATGTAAAAAATAACATAAATTTTATATTGTCTATTATTTTCTTCACTGACATAAGGAAGCATTAGGTCTGTTTAATCTGTTATTTTTGAGATGTAAAATCTAGTTCTAAATATAAAATATAATGTCTTTCATGGAGCACTTTTCCAACTTCATGACTTTTGTTTCCTACACCCACGTTTTGTATATTTTGTTTGCTACACCCGAAGCACAGTCAGAAACAAACATTTTACCTAGAGCCGTCTACTAGAATGCGAGAAGTGGGGACATAGTTTCAGGCACAGAGAAGCAGTTGTTTCTTCTCTGGAATGAATGAAGCCCTAGGAAAAATAACTCTCAATAATCCCAGTCTGAGCATTCATGTGTTCATTGTGGAGTCCTCACATAGCCATAGGTCAGTGTTAAAGAAGAAACTACCTTATAAGACAGAACTCTGGTCAGAAAGCCTAAGTACTTGGTTTTATCATATCATAATATGCAGAGGGGAATCTCCCTACTGAACTTTCTGTAATCTATGCTATTAAAATCCATAGAATCATGAATCCATAAAACAGTAAAAGCAGGATTGGCATGTGGACTAAACTCTCCAGTAAAGGTGAGTAAATGGAGATTTACAAAAGCACCCAGGTTCTTAGCAATACATTTGGGATAGACCAGGTCTCTGTAATCCCAGTTTGTGCTCTTTTGACTGGACTAGGTGTGGTTCTATGTGGTTCCCATAATTTGTGTTCTGTCTTACACACCTCACTGTACTTGGGTGGATGTGGAATGTCTTCTGCATCTTTTCTGCTTCTGCCTTCCACTCACCCCTTTCTCCTAACCAGTGCTTCTCCACCATTAACAAGGTTTTACATGTAGAATATGCCTCTAGATGAATACTGATTGAGTCTGAGCTGGCAGTCGACTGCCTCTCAGAATTACAATGACCCATAATAATGTTTAGGTCAAAAGATTTATTTGAAGCTCATAGATACTTTTGGAAGCCATATGCAAAAACATTTCTTCAAATAAAAAAAAAGTTTCTTTTTAAATTAGACTAGATCCTATGTCTTTTTGGAGTTGTAGAACTAAAGTAAGTGATAGAAGTGGAGTAGCTCTAAGAAAGCTTTTGTATTATAGCAAACAAATTAATAGACTCTAGAATGGTGCTAAAATACTGTGCACCAAAGACAAGACAAGACAAAACAGATTATTTAGCAATGCTTTTTGTTTTGTTTTTGTTTTTCTCCTCCACAGTATTCTCATAGAGTACCTCTTAAGGAAGAGATCCATGCCCTGGATTGCACTTGCTTTTAGAGAAGCCAGTGGTTGAGTCTTTCAGGAGCCAGAAACATTAGGGAATTTTTTTTATCAGCCCTACCCCAGCAATTTGCCACATAATCTGGTTCAATGGGTGATCTTTGAATTTAAGATAAGTTTGTATTGCATCCCAAATTGAGACACAGTGACAGTCATTCTTTCAAATATGAAAAAGCTGCTTATGCTTTAACCCAAGAGAGTCTGTCATGTTAGTAGATTTTTAAACAATTTGGATCCTATCCTGATACTCTCATGATTTGATGTATATGCAATTTATTACAGTTTTGTAATATATTTACAAGTATGCCTGTCAAGGCTAGGAGATATAATTTGGAGGCCTTGAAGTACAGTAAAATCAACTGGCTTAGGCACGCATGGAACTCATGTGCTTGCCAATCACAACCCACCACATAATTCATCGATCACAGTTTACCTGAAGATAGCCATTCACTTATCCATGTATTTAATCGATATAATGACATAGCTCATAGTTGTTTAGTCCTTTGTCATCACTAAAGGATATTTAGGTAAATTTTCTCACTTGAGCTTAACAAGTCTCCTACGGAGTTAAATATTGACTCTTAGAAGTAAGAAAAAGAAAAGCCATGAACAGCCTGTCTTGCCCAGGTACACGTAGCTCATGAATGAGACCATGATGGTGCAAAATCAAAAATTTTTTATTCCAAATACAATATTCTTTCCACCACACCTCGGCTGCAAGGCATTTTGTAGAGAATCTGTCTGGGGAGAAGGTGACTTTTGTGGTGTGGTTCTGGAGGAATAAGGACGCTGAAGTGCCAGCCCTCTCAGGTGTTCCATATTAACATCTCAGCTTTGCAGTCAAGGTTTGGCATGAGAGCATTGTGACAGTGGCACTGTAGAGCAAGAGAACTGAATGTTAAAAGATCTGAATTTTAGACATGCTGGATAACGACTTCATTATTCCAGACTTTTCTCCAACTTTATAGTAAGCAGCTAGACTGCAAAATACTTTAGATCAGTGATCAGCATACAGCTCCCTGGGCCAAACTCAGCTTCCTTTTATAAAAAAGGTTTTATTGGGACACAGCTACGCACATTTGATTATGTTATTTTCCATGACTCCTTTCACACTATAATGGCAGTGCTGAGTAGTTGCCACAGAGACCATATGCCCTGCAAAGCCCTTGACTGAGAAAGTTTGCCATCTCTTGTTTTTGGTCTCGTCTGTTTTATTTTGTTATTTTATTTTATCTTATTCTGTTTTATTTGTCAATGGGAGAATGAGCATTTTCTCAAAGAAGTATTTTTGAAGTACATCTTTAGCTAATGGAGGGCATTTGTTTTAGCCAGCAAAGATTCAGCTGTCACTGTACAAGGTCCCTGGAGAAGCCGTCTTTCTCATTCCAGGAACTAAGAAAGGTGTTTTCTAGGTCTGTATCACATTTCCACAAATACAGGTTCAATTAAAGTACCTTTTCTTTTAATTTTTCCCATTCTTTATTGTCATTCAACCTTGGGTTGAGCCAGCGAGATTGGTAAGAGCTGCCCCCTGGAGACCTCCTGCAAATGCTATTCCATGAAGTAGTGGTTTCCCAATGTGCATCTCATACAAAACCAAACAATACAAATAATGCTGCTATTGTACCTTTCTTATGGCTGGTCTCAAGGGGGTGAGACTGTCATCATAAAACATAACAAAGCTGCTATAGAAATGGACAGACAGAGGAGAGAGTAGTCTGAGGGCCTCAGAACCTCAACAGAAACTTCCTCTAAGCTGGCAGCTGAAAGCTGCAGGGTTTTTTCTTGGTTATTTATTGAAATGTGAAGATTTCTTGTCTCAATGGGTAGTTGCAGAATTTTTTATACTGTTATCTACATGTGAATTATTGACTGGATTATCAAAGCCATTATACTTATAAATCTTGAAGTATTAACTGAGAAGCAGGAATAACTTTTTAAAACCCCAGATTGTTAGATTAGTAAGTGCTAACAGGCAACCTTATTTCTCTTGCTAGATGGCTTTTGATGAAATCAACAGAATGCACAAGTTAGGTAAATGAATGTGGAGTTAGATTTACTGAAACTCATCATGGTATAGGCTCCCCAGTAGCATAGGTTATTCTGTTTTAAACAAAAATTACTTGATTTTTATTTACTTAGGAACACTCTTTTGCTTAATCATATCACATACCTCTCCTATTTGTTTGTTAAATCTAGTTTTTCAACATTTGGTGCAAAGATGTATTTACATAACTTGTATGATTCATAATATTCCTATATCCAGAATTTGGTGGACAGATTGTCATATAGAGGGAAGCCAGACTGCAAGGAAAAATTCTTTCTATAGGACTCACTGCATAATCATGAAAGGAAGAAAAATCTGACCTATTCAGATTTCTGCCTTCAGCACCTACTTTTTGGTGTCCTCAGAACTCACGTTTTGTGGTCTGAATAAAAAGTAAGTAACAGCTAACTCAGCTTTCTGTAAGTTATAGTAATACTTCCATTAGACATGGGGAATATTGATAGATTCAAAAGATGAAGAAGAAATCTCCAGGAGGACCAAACTGCACTGTGGAGGTTTGGAAATATTTCTTTGCTTTTGGTACAGAAGGTGAAGCAGAATGATTTCAGTTGGAAGAAAGGATCTAAGCTTGGCAAGGCTACTCAGAAGCCATTATAATGTTAATTAAAGAATGTTCATGAAAGGGAAAAAAACAAAAATCCATCTCTATAGTGGGTTCCAATCTATGGGCCAAACAGAAGCAATTTCCCCTCTTCCTAAACACCAAATCCTACAGCTGGATGTTTAGACCATATCTGATCTCTGCCTTGTTGATCCCCTGACCAATCCATCACGTGAAAACAAACCTGTCAGGCAGTAGTGTCTCAGTATGCTGCCCTCTCAGATGTATTCCCCAGTTGGCTGACATCACGCCAACTAGTGAAAATCCCACACTTGAGTGGTGCTGTCTGTCAGGCGTTGGGACGAGGAAAACAAGCGTGCTGGGGCAGACATCCTGTATCCATCCCAGAGTCAGAGGGTCTCTGAGGAGCAGCCAAATAAGCTGCTCACTTCAGAATACCTTATTATACATTTATTCTACAATCCCAAGATGGGAGTTGCTACCCCCATAGCACAACTGGCCTCAATGTCTGTACAGCCCAAGAAATCCACATAACTCATGCAGGCTACAGCAACTAACAATAGGACCTATGCTGTATTGAGCTCTGCTAACATTAAAATAACGATCTAAAATCCCCAGGATAACTTTCCATAAATCTAATGCATGAGTTCTTTTTTTTTTATTGAAGAGTAATACCAGCAGTTAAACCTTATAGGTATCCAGAAGCAATTACAAAATGAGGAGATTATGGTGGCGATATTGTAAATGGAACTCACTTAAATGTCAAAGCACTTGCCATAAAAGTGGCAATAATGATGCTAAACACAATACACTGTTTCAAATATTAGTTTTTTCATTTTTTCCTCTATTAGACATGATGAGGTTCAAACAACCATCACCAAACTGACTGTGAAAATAATAATATCATCATTATCATGTGCTGGCAAAGCACGAATGGCTCTGTCATTCTGTCCTACAGACGCTTACTAATGGAACAAGAATCAGACATAAATCCCTAGAGGTAAAAATGGCAGGGCATTACCAGGCTCAGAGCATAATTGTAAACCTGCATGCTAATAAGCGTGGCTTTTAAAGATACCAATCATAGCAAAAATGGCAATAAAGATAATTTTTCAGGCTGTAATTATTTGCTGGTCATAAAATATTTTTAGCTTTGGAACGTTTGTTGTTACTGTTTGGTATTTACTTCCAGCCTACTTGTTAATCCAATTCAATCTAATTCCTTAAGAACAAGCTGCATGCCTGCTTCTCCTTTCCTTCTTTCATGAGCACCAATCAAGCTCCTACTGTATATAGGTATTGTGCTAAACAGCAAGAGAAGCATACTGCACCGGCTTGGTCCTATAGCAATTGATTGTCAGGTTGAGGGAAATTTTAAAAGGGGGTATACATGCCAATTAGAAAAACTCAAGGCAAAAAAAATTAAATAAGTAAACAGGAATACTTACATTCTTCTATTGAATTTACCAAAGTCCATCTCAGGTGAGAAGAAAGCTATGACTAAATCAATCTTAAACTTATATCTGAAAATTCAAACAAGGAATTGCAGAATTGGATTGACTGATCTTTATCATATTCTGCTTAGGAATGTGCAAAGGGGTCGAATGACTGCTTGGTGAATATTCATAGTTGTTCAACAATCTCAAATTTTTAATATTTCAGAGGGATGTTCAAAATCGTTCCAGAAGCTGGTAATTAAAGGAAAGCAATAAAAATCTTTTTTTTTTCAATGGGAAAGTACAATACTGTTCTGCTAAAATTTCTGATTCCAAGGACATTTCTAATGATAAAAGATCTTAAGAAAAATGAAGGAGGTGAAGATAGGGCTGCTTCTATTTTAAGTAGAAGCATATGTTTATACTTCTCGGTGGGAAACTTCTAGGCAGCAATCAAGGGAACTTACCTTACAAGTACTGTATAAGTGAAGAGTTTAAAATAGTTTTTAGTTGAAAAAAGAACAGGAAACTATTTCAAAACTGAAAAAAATTGATTTTTGATTGTAATCAAGTAGCCTTGCCTATTTCTGTATCATAATGAATATCAATTAGTAGAAAACATGAGAAAATAAATTTTCATATACTAAAAAATTAGATACACATATCAGAAAAAGTATGAAAATGATGTGCTTTTTTCTAAGCCCTATCGTTACTTCCACAATAACCAACAGATCTAATCTGCCAACTATCTAACTTCCTTCCTTCCTTTCTCTCCCTGTCTCTTCCTTTCTTCTTTTTTTCTTTTTAGGCTATCCTAGAAGTAATTAAAGTTAGTGATGGGTAGTGGCCTCTGCTTCTCTTGGCTGTGGTTGTCAGACACAAGTTTTGTTTGTTTGCTTGATTTGTTGAAAAGAGCATCCTATTTGGTGAGTGTAAAGTCTCATCACTTTTTTTCTTTTTGAACAACAGATTATATGATGGTACCAAAAAGGTGAAAAACTTTTACTTGTGCATTATAAAGTAGGAGACATAAACTTCCCTCTCCTTTACATCTGCTCTCTCCTCCCTCTTTTTTGTTCGTCCCTTTTTTCTTCCCTGATCCTCCTTTAGGGGTCCCACAGTGCTTTCATTTCACCCCTCTACCCCAAAAAAAGTCAGGCGTTTCCACCTGCATGTTTCATAGAACGTTAAACCAATATGTCTAGAGAGATTCACCATCATCTTCTCTCTACACGATTTCTGTTAACATTATCACCATTCATAAAAAAGTCGATTCATCAAGACTTCTCTTTTTCACAAGCCCCTCATGTCCAGGTACTGCTGCCTCTATAATTCTTTGGCCAAACATTTATTTCTTTTCTTCTCCCTCCCAGAGGTTTACATCTCATTATGTCATTACTGAACATTACAAATAGCTTTTTATTGGGTTTTCTATCTAGCAAGTTTTAACTTATAAAATACATTTGATTAGTGATTACCAGATTTATATTCTGGTCATATCATGAGGAAGGCTGAAAACATTCACTATCAACCTGGTGTCTCCAGAACAGAGGATATGTAGTGATGATAAGCAGATGAATACAAAGTAGGGAAAAGTACAAATAGTAATAACTTCATTTCAGGGTTGTTTGGAAGATTAGATATTTATAGCACACAGCATAATGTCACTCATCTAAATTGAGCTTAAAAATGTTATTATTGGCCAGGCGCGGTGGCTCAGGCCTGTAATCCCAGCACTTTGGGAGGCCGAGGTGGGCGGATCACGAGGTCAAGAGATTGAGACAATCCTGGCCAACATGGTGAAATGCTGTCTCTACTAAAAATACAAAAATTGGCTGGGTGTGGTGGCACATGCCTGTAGTCTCAGCTACTCGGGAGGCTGAGGCAGGAGAATCACTGGAACCTCAGAGGCAGAGGTTGCAGTGAGCTGAGATCACGCCACTGCACTCCAGCCTGGTGACAGAGCGAGACTCTGTCTCAAAAAAAAAAAAAAAAAAAGTTATTACTGCCTTCTTCTGTTTGGACATTGTTGGAGTAATGGAGAAAAGAGATTATGTTTCCTCTATTCTGGATAGATTTCATAGAACACTATAGTCTTTGAGATATAAATTTTAAGACAGTTTTATCAGCACATAGATTTAAAAGCTTGATTTGGAATTTATTAATCATTCGCTTGTGTAATTTATTTTGGAAACATCATAAAAACAAAAATTAACAAACCCTCGCTCCCTTGCTGCAAAAACAAAACAAAACAAAACCAAAAAAAACCCACATTAGAGCCTCACAAATGGAACTATATTCTGAAATTTAAACTGGGCATTTTTAATACAGTTTGAAAAATTACGTGGCTCTATTATTCAAATGAGAAAAGTAGTTGATGTGCATTCAGATTAGTTCCTTTAATAATGCTTTTAAAAAACTCTATGGCTATTACTGACTCAGTAGTACAATGATAATTTGCAATGCCCCATTGGCTTCAATAAAAGGGTAAAGAAAATGGTTTAAGTTATCTTAGAGAGGCTAGTATGAGGCAGTATAAAAAGTAAGGGATTTTTTTTTAAACTCCGAAAATAAAAGGCACAAAGTGAAATATATGCATTCTACCCACTTATGTTCCCAAAGGAGCCTCCAGCTTCCAGGAGACCAGTATAAGCTGAATTTGTAACAGACAAGTTTCAACTCCTATTTACTCTTCAATCGTGAGTAGGCTAAGACTTGGATAAAAAAGTTCTGGAGCCCTAGAAGAAGGCACACGGCAAGATGGCTGAAGCCACAAGATAGAGAAAAAAGAAAATTCCTACCTCAGAAGAGGTTGTTAGAGGGTGATTTTATCCAAAAGTTCTTTGAACCAGAAGGAAAAGTTCTTAGATGTTTGGATCTGGTTTTCTGCCCAAGCTAAATAACTCACCAGAAACCCAAACTGCTAGTTTAAAGAGGATTAAGATTAGGCTTCTTCTAAAACAGTATGACCTTGTGCTAAGGCTTCCACTAAATTTGTTGTCACCATACCTGACATCTCTCAGATGTCACACTCACCCTATGAAGCACATAGCTCTAGAGCAATTACAAGAGCCTCTGGACTCGGGAAACCCTCATGCTTGCTTTATTCCCTGTGACCAATGGCTACAGCCAATGTGCTGATATAGGACCTGCCTGCTGGTCTCAAAATTCCCAAGTCTGAGAATTGTTCACCTTCACTGAGTCTATGACCTGTGATCACACATATCTGATGTCTCATTTTTCTCTGGCAGAATATCTATCTCGATGAGGTTTCGTTTTGTCTCTGGCAGAATATCTATCTCGATGAGGTTTTCCTGATTTTTCACTCTGTTGCAACTTTTCTTCTGTTTTCTCTGAAGGAGAAATGACATGTAATTTAGTACCTACTTAAAGGCCCACATTGATGCTGACAGTTATGCTATCTGGCCCATGCTTTGTTATCTAGAACTGATAGAATTAAATTTGATTTAATTTTTTCTAAAGCTCATCCATTTAATAACTGTCCTTCTATAGGCATGGTCTACTAATGGTAACTGTTATTAGTACAGAGGTAATAAAAGTCAACTTTTACTTTGAGCTTTGTACAGTGACCCACACATTTTGTTGTGTATGTCAACAGAAATTGTATGTGTCTACAATCATTGACACTTGTTTATGGGGCTTTTAAGGCCCATAAAAGCCATAATTTGGAGAAATTAAATCTAAGTAATAATATTTAGGCTAAGTGTGTCTGTGATGCTCAGCAGGATTTCAGTGCAAGATCCAAGTCAATTGGCTCCAATTACAGATGATCAAAATGTGTTCTAGTCTGTCTTAATACTAGGACAGTTAATACAAAATGCACTCCATATTTTATTTCCCCAGTTTACATTTTCTATCTGTGATTGGAAGGATTTTAAGTCACAGTGACAAAGTAAAAATTTTGTTCCTCAGAGATTTTAAATGCAGAAGAATAAGTCATAGAAAGAGAGAGATTAAATAAAGTGATTTTAACTCCACTGTTACTTTTAAGAATACTCAGGCAGCTCATACAGTGTATTATAGTGATTAAAACACTCAATAAAGCTAGCTGTGTGGATTTGAATCCCAGCTCTACTTCTCGTTGGCTTCTGAGCTTGGGCAAGGTCTTTGCTTTAGATAACTTATTTGTTAAATTGAAATAATACTACTATTCATTTCCTAGAGCCATTTGGAGATTTAAATGAATTAATAGGTAATAAGTGTTTAAAATATTTTCTAGCACAGACTAAAAGCTCAATAAATATAATTTCTATGCAAGCTTTTACATGTTGTCAAGGTTCATAGGAGCCAAATTGCAGAATTCACAGATGCAGTTCAATTAGAACACACTTGAGATGCTACTTTAATCACAGAACATTTCGATAACATTTTAATAGAAGACATTTTAAAGCCTTTTGCTATGTAGGCCCAGAATGTTTTGAATGAGGGAAAACAGAAAGTTGGGAGGTCACAATTACTTTACAAAAAAATCTTTACATTTCTATATGTAACAAAATATGCCATGTTTATATATTTCATTTTGTATTTCATATTATTTATATTTCTCATAAAGTAAACGTGTTATTGACTAGACAATCAAATTTACCAATAATTATATTTATTCTTATTTCAATATGGACTACCAGAGTAAGACAGTCCTTAAAATGGAAGATAATCGTTTTATTTTATTATGCCACACCTTTTTTTCCCACCTTTAAATTTTTCTAAAATTAAGGAATATTATAACACTTTCCAAATTATATGAGATTATACTATAAGGAGAGGTATGGTATATTAAATATGCTTGCATATTTTACTCTTCTTTCAAGATGTGGATTCCCTTGAATTTGACCAGTTTTTAATGATATAGTTGATCAATAGACTATTGTTGAAGTGATATTCCAGAATTTCTAAGGCTTAGTCAGTGTGTTCCTAGAATGTTTGTTCTTAGGAGAAAACAGCCTCTCTTTAACAAGTCCTACTATGCTGAGGCTACCTTGCTGTGAAGATGACCAAAGCTAGCTATGTTGACAGGCCACATGGAGAGAGATGCACACACAGTCCCAGTTGTTCCAGTAACCCAACCTAGGTGAGTAAAGAAGTCATCTTAAGGCTGCGTGCAGTGGCTCATGCCTGTAATCCCCACACTTTGGGAGGCTGAGATGGGAGGACTGTTTGAGCCCATGAGTTCAAGACCAGCCTAGGCAACATAAGGAGACCCTGTCTCTACAAAAAATTAGCCAGATGTGGTGGTGCTTGCCTGTGGTCCCATCTACTTGGGAGGCTGAGGTGCAAGGATCACCTGAGCCCAGAAGGTGGAGGCTGCAGTGAGCCGCGATTGTCCCACTGTGCTCCAGCCTGGGTGACAGAGTGAGACCCTGTCTCAAGAAAAACAACAAACACACACAAGAACGAGAAACAAAGTCATCTTAGACACTGCAGTATTAGCAGACACAAAGTGGAAAATTGATGAACCCGCACAACAGACTGGAACAAAGACTCCAAACATACCACCCAATAAAGCTGTCCCAGCCATCTTAACCTATTCAAGCCACCTTAGTTGAGAACTCAGATATTATGGAGAAAAGATTAGCTATTCTACTGTGCCTTATTCAAATTCCAGACCTACAAAATGGCAAAGGTAACCAACTGCTTGTTGGTTATGTTTTAATCCCACTAAATTTTGGGGTGGTGGTTATGCAGCAATAAATATCTGGAACAAAGGGAAATAGTATCGTGTGACTGCAAGTCCAAGGTCTCATTTTAAAATTTAAGACATTGTCTTCTTTTTTCTTTTATCTTTGCTCCTGTCTCCATTACTCCTCACTGAGAAAACAAAAAAACCTACCCACTATTGGTTTGCTGTCATTTAAATATCCTTGTCTCTGATTGATCTTCTACCCATAGGTCATCAAAGTCTGTAATACTTTCCCTGACAATCCATGTAGATTTTGCTTAAAATTAAAAAAAGTTTGCATACGAAGTAATCAATATTATGCTTTGGTTTTACTCTTAGAAGTTCTACTTTCACTCACCTGGTAAGCCTAGAAACAAAGAAGCTATTATGCGCATCATACCCAGGGTTTTTAATTTTAAATGATGACTTTATAGCTCAAGCACATGCCAAGGGAGGAAACAAGGCAGGTACATGGCCACAGAGAGCTTGCTGAGTATGTGCGAACAACACTTGAGCACATGTCTAGAGGAGTGAGTCTGTTAGAATGTTAACAATGGCATTTTCTGTTTTCACTTAAGTGGTGGTTCATTTAGGAGGTACTTTTCCCAAAGGAACAATCATTTTTGAGACTTTAAAATCTCTGAATAGTATATTTTCACTCAACCAATTCTCATAGCCTTCTGTAAAATATCACAAAATCTCAGAGTTTATGAAGAAGGAATATTTTGTTTTGTTGCAATTTCCTCCAAAGAGAGAAAAAGTAAACACGCATGGTCTTAAATAGTGTTGTGCTGTTTAAAACTCTAACTTACAACTAGTGAAGAAATATGGTTTCCTATAATCATAAAGCTTTTACCCATAGGTAATTCCATTTTTAAGTGTTTCTGTAGAGAACATCCCTCTCCTTTCCTTCAAATTTTCATTCTCCTTATCTTTTGATTGATGACCAAGAATGGCATTTAGTTTAGGAATCCCAACTAATTACTATTTTTCAGACACCAGATACCATCACTTTTTTTGGTAGTCCTCAATTTAAAATTATATTTATTTCTAAAATTTTTAAAATTTTTAATTTTGGGGTACATAGTAGGTGTATGGGGACTTGTATTAAATATTTACTTTGATATTCTCTTGAGACTCCACTCATGCACACACACAATTTCTCTCTGCCTCTTTCTATATAATCTTTCTCCCTTTCAGCTATCAATCCATTTATCCGTCTATGTACTAGATTGCTGGAACTTAGCACCCTCTTCCAAAAACTCAGTTTTTAAAAGCCTCAAGGAGGTTCCTCATGACAGTTCACAAATCAGTCTATCATCAAAAATCATCATTATGCATCTGCCATATTTTTTTTCTTTTACTTAGGTTCTGATTGGATGTCTTGGAGTCTGAAGTCCAATTTAGGGAGTTTCAGAGTCACTATGGGGATACAGTTGTTCATGAAATGCCTGTGACTAGGTCATGGGTGTTCTCTCAATGTTTTGTTCTTCTGATGGTCCAGGTCAATACCTATGCTGTCATCATTGACATCTCTCTTTCATGACACAAATGCAACCTATAAGTCAATTCTGATTGCTTTAGTGCAATATACTACCACCTTGGGACTGTAACAATAGCAGCTTAGCCAGTCTCCCTGCTTCTATTCACCACCAATCAGCCAGAATAACTGTATTTTATTTTTTAACCTAAGTGATATCATGTCCTAGTTCTTTTACTGGGAATAGAAGGGCCTTCCAGCCATGCCTCCGCCTGGGACCAGGCCACTGACTGGTCTGGTGCTGCTCTCCCCTAGCCACATTGTGCTCCCTAGCACCAGGCCTTTCTGCATTTCCTCCAGCTGCCAAGTGCTCTCCCCTCAAGCGTGCTTTCCTCCAGGTATGAGCAGGGTTCACGCTATCTCTTCCTTCAAATCTCAGTTAACATTTCTCTGTATTAGGTAGACGACCCCAGCTAGATGCGTTCTTTCACTACCACACCATTCCCTCTTGGATTTATTTTTCTTTACAGCATTTTTCATTACTGAATGTATTATACTCTTTCTTATAGTATAACATACTATGATATTTAAGATATACTATCATTATAACATATTTTTATATAAATATACATGTACCATATAAGATGATTACATACTATTTTTTTTTAACTCGGTAACTGCCTTAAGAACAGAAAAACGTGTCTTTTTCATTTTTACATTACCAACAGCAAAAACAGGGACTATCATAAAGTAGTTGCTCAATAAATACTTGTCAATCAAATGAGCTTATAAACAAATGGAAGTCCCTGATCTTCAGAACGCCAAACCTGGGCTCCGATGGGTGTTTAGATGAGAATGGCCCTCTTCTCAATTCCACATGGTGTCGCTTGGGACCAACATATTGAGCTGTTTATCCCAAGAATATCACAGTCTGTGATCTTTGCCTCTCCCAAACCGATAAACATTTACAAACAAAACCCTAGTTCCTTCATGTTTGCACACACCCCTTGTCACAAGAAGAATTTAAATCAGCTCATGTGATTCCTTTTTGTCCCCATACATTCTTTCTAAATTCTTTCACCAGTCATTTCTCCCTGCATACACATTCTTGTCAAAACTTCTCAGGCCTACATGCGAAAGAGAAGCCTCATATTTTACATTCTTTTGCACAGAAGAAACAGTAGGGGGTAGAGAGACGTTTCCTTTTGGTAGCTGCCTCTGAATTTAAGCAGTTGCCCAAAGGAGAAGAAAAACCTGAGCTGTGGGGTTGGGGAGGCAAAATAGAATCTCTTTGCATTATTGGTTCACAAACTACTCATTACCTAACAATCTGCTTTATCTCTCTTGAAAATATAGTACCAATGTTACCATGATGTTAGTTTTCTACAACACCTTCGTTATTAACAACATAGTATTTCATTTTCTAATTCCACAGTGAAATTTATTTATTCAACTCTCCTTTTGCTGTTTAGGCTATTTTCAATTTCTTACTAGTGCAAACAAAATTGTCATGGATATTTCTGAGACTAATACTGGCTCAAGGGTTTGGCACCTTGTTAAAGTTAATAATTACCCACCAGGATTATTAAAACAATTTGCACACTTAGCAACAATACTTGAGAAGGCCCATATCTTGTTACCTGCACAGAGCTCTTTTCAATCTTTTTAATCTCTGAAAGTAATAGGCCCCCAATGGCATCTCATTGTTTTTTAAAATGTGTATTTCTTTCATAATCAAATTTTAACATTTTATATTTAATAAACATTCAGATATCCTATTTTGTGAGCCTAATTTATGCCCTTTGACCATTTTGACCATTTATCACTCTCTCTTTCTTTTTTTTTTTTTTTTTTTTTTTTTTTTTGAGATAGTGTCTCACTTTGTTGCCCAGGCTGGAGTGCAGTGGTGCGATCATAGCTCACTTTAACCTTGAACTTCTGGCCTTGAACAAGTGATTCTTCCACCTCAGTCTTTCAAGTAGCTAGGACCACAGGCACAGGCCACCATGCACCACTAATTTAATTTTTTTTTTCTCTGTAGAAATGGAGTCTCCTTATGTTGTCCTGACTTGTCTTAAACTCTTGGCTTCAAGTGATCCTTCCACCTTGGCCTCCCCAAAACTGGAATTACAGGTGTGGCTGACTGCCATGGTTACTACTTGAGACTATCATTACAACAGTTACTACTGATACTGCTTGAGACAGTCATTACGAGACTGAAGGAAGGAGGACGAATGTAGAAATAAAAACTTAAGACAAAAGTAACTATTTTAAAGGAAGGGGCTAGGGGAGGAAGAAGAGGGCTCTCTGCTTCCAGTAAGCAAAGGCAGCAACCTTGAGCTTCCACAGCCCTTTGTATTTATTGGGTAGAAAGAGCAGGGAGGAGGAGGTAATGATTGGTCAGCTGCTCGACTGATCACAGGTTCACATTATTGCTAACAGGCTTCAGATGTGCCTAATCAAAAGAAACACTTGTGCCTGGGTCGTGACTGCCCTCAGCATTCCTTCTGGGTGGCAGAGGCAGTTTGTCCGTCTGCCAACATTCTGCATTTATGAGAACAGTTTGCTGTTTACTCATACAGCCTCCAGTGGTATACTGGGTTGATCACGACCCTTACTCTTTTGGCCTTCAACATATAGGTGTGAGCCACTGTGTCTGGGCATTTTTCTCTTCTGGTATTTGCTTTTACTTTTACATTAAAATAAACAAATAATGGTCTTTATGAAGCATGTTAGATATTTACAGGTAGCAGACAGTTTATTCAAGTTTTACTTTTGTCCTTCTTGTGTCCAAGAGTGAGATGACTCTTTCCCGGGGTCTTGGAGGAACGGTGTATATGAACTGCAGGTTAGAACCTGTAGTAGCTCATCTGATACCTAGGAATTTCTTTTGACGCTTTCTAGGGTTGGAATCTCATAACATCCTCTCTCCTTGATGTTGGTACATCCTTCAAAGAAAGTTTTTTGGTAACTTTTCAAGGGATAATGGGATAAAAGAAAAAATATTTAAAAGGGCACATTGGATTAATTTTTCTCAGCTTTGAATATATCAAAAGATTTTCATTTTCTCCTTTTAATTTGGTTGGCAATTTTTAACTATGGCTTCATTGTTGTCTGACATCAAGTATTGCTGTTTAAAAAGCCAATTACATTCTGAGAAGACAACATGAAATGATTGGTCAATAAGGCAGGACACAAGCTTAATCGCTTCCCCCAATTTGTTATATCTGTGAAGAGCCAGCTTAGCTTCTGAGCTCCTGGTATAATCAGCTAAGGCCTCTGTTGTAACTGCATCTCAATTCAACTTCTTTATCTGCCAGATCTGCAGCTTGCATTCCCTCCCAGGTGGTGTTTTATGAGAGTATGCCCTCATAAACTTCCTGTATGCAAATCTGCACGTGAGAGTCTTTCTTAGAGCACCAGACCTAAGACAATTAGTCCCAAGAGAGGATCAAGAAAACAGATCCTAAATTGGAATGCTGAATCATCAGTAAATGGTAGGTAACATCACTGGTGGTAGATGGAGTACAGATAGGCTCTAGCACACTCTGGTGATGCAGTTGTTAAAACTTTCACCAGTGGTGACCTGGCATGGAAAACCAGGAAAGGAATTAATTGGCAGATGCAATATTTTAGAATCTAGAGAGGTTCAGAGTAAGTAGTAATTATAAGTACCATAGAATCTTATGATTGGTGAATATAAGCTATGCTTTAGAGAAAGATGATGAAATATGAAGTGATTAATCACCAATTTAATGTAAAATATAAAAGTCAGAAGGACTCCTTTTTAGCATACGAAAGGATGCTTATTTCTTGCAGCCAAGGACAGAAGACTGAAGGTGATGCATAGGACTTAATTTTAAACGGTGGCAAAACTCCAGAGAAGGTTAAGTTCTCAATCTGGCAAGTTTTCTGTGCTCTGACCTTGTTTGGAAAGTAGAGGGAACTTGAGCCTTGGGATAGGAAAAATGGGTTGATGCTTTTAAGGCTGTTGAAACTCCTTATCTCCCTGCATCCTCTGAGTCTGCTGAAGTGTCTTGCTCCTCATTGTTAAATGCCAGAACTTCACACTAGCTTAAATACAATGCAGAGACTCTGTCTTACAAGGCCAGGTACCCTTCTCCCCTCCTGTACTTATCTTCTGCCTCTCCTTGCCACCAGACTAATGACTAGGGTGAAAGTGCATAACTCATATGGAAAAGTTCTGAGCTTTCCATGGGACAAAAGGGGCTAACATTGAAAGATCTGAAGGAGCTAGCCAAGATATACTGGCAAGATCCGATAAAGTAGTTTTTGACTGGATCCTGAGAATTCTGGTTCAAGGAGGACAATAAAAAGTTGGATGAGAGAGTTTATTGACTCAGGAATACTTTTCTCTGTTAAGGGATTTTATACCCTAGCAAGGACCATATGAGTTAACACTTCTATACTGTTTGATAGGCATTTTGCAAAAAGCTATAGTCCACAATGAGTAAATTTAAAATGACAGAGCTCCATAGATGATACAACATGGGATCGAAGACTAAGAGAAATAAACATGCTAGAGTAGATACATTAGGAAAATCCAGAAAAACTCCTGCCAACCATATTATGTGGGAATGTCAGTTCAAATAGGATAGACAACAGTACATATTTACATGTTTGCCTTAGGGCAATATTAACTCTTCCATCCTCTAATATGGTCCAATGATCTCATGTAAATCTGGATGAGCAAGAAGTCACAAGTATATTCAAGTCATGGGTAATATATATGTGCCCCAGAAAGTGAGAGAAAAACCTATTGAGGTTCAGAGACTGATCACATTAGTGAAGTTTGTAGCAATTGATTGATCTGGAAAACGTTAGGACATCCTCTGCAACATAAATACAAATTATTACACTTTCCGGACCCTACCACTAAGAGAAAAGCACAATGCCTGGTAAACCTCTTTAAATTAGAGAGGTAGCTCATTCCACACTTTGGTAGAATACTTATCTGCCAAGTAACACAGACAGCTTCCAGCTTTGAGTGTAGCTTACAGAAGAAAAGGACTCTACAGAAGTTTTAGACTCTCCTGCAATTAGCTCTGCTATCTGGCCCATATGACCCAGCAGATCCTACAGTATTAGAGGCATCTGTGGTGAGAAAAGTTGCCATGTGGAGTTTATAGCAAACCCCAATAAAAGCATCACAACTTAGATACATATAACATCCATAAGAGATACCGATGCACCATTCACAGCTCCTGGTATGCTAATGGTTCCTGGCAGACATGGAGTGCTTGTCCATGGGAGATTAGGCCACTATGCAGCTTGAACGGCCCACCATGAGCTGGGTCAAGGTTAGATCGGCTCACTAGCAATCCATCGTAGGATAGAAAAGTTGAATCCAGAATCAAGTACAAATAGCTAGGCAGAGGAGTTGCAAGAGTGGGAATTGGTTATATAATATACCACCTAGAAGTTACAAGATTGACTGAGTTATGCAATGGCTCAGTTGTATCACCAGCGTCACCAGCGTGGAGATAATGCCCTAGGAGGATGGAGTGCCATGCTCTAGGCCATAGTGTAGAAATCAACAATTTTTATGTCATGATGTACTCCCCATAGATAGGAGACACCTGGATCCATGAAGCAGAAGTATCCCTGTTTACTATCATTCCCAGGAACCCACTTGAGGAACTTGTGCTGCTCTTCCCCACAACTTCAGGCATGTCTGAGATCTGAGCTCCCAGAGAAACAATGCTTTTGCCAGGGAACATAACAATAGTTCTGTCAGACTTGTTTATGCCTGCCACCTTGTCACTTCAGATTCCCTGGGCTAGGAGAACAGCAGCAGGCAAGGAAATGTGTCCTGGCCATCAGGAGGAGGTAGGTCTTCAGTCACACAATGGGTATAGGGAAGAATGTTTGTCACCTAGGTGATCCAGTGAGTCTCTCTCGATAGTCCCTTGCTTATATTTATGCTAAATATAAAAATGCAGAAGCCATGGACTAAGAAGGTGATGAAGACCAGGGGCTCAAACCCCTTAGGGATGATGGTCTGGATCATCCCATCATCACTTAAACCAGGAGAGGTGCTAGCTGTGGTTGAGGAGAATACAGAATCTTAGTGCAGAAGGGGAATAATGAATATTACTTGCAGCTCCAAGAATAATTATAACAGCAGGGGCTTTAGTTAGTCCTAGTCACCTTCCTCATATAAGTTTTTCCAGGCAAGAGGATGACCAGAATTCTAGAGAAGATGTTCCTAGATGGGGTACACTTATTATATGAAGCAAGTGAATCTTAGCAACATAAACATGGTTAGTAGTGGATGATATGGTGTGTATACCAGACCCCTCTGGCAAGAGTAAGGCACTCATTCTCCCAGCTGCCAGGAGTGTTGCCTGTCAACTAATCACAGCTGAGTCCCTCCCTGAGCATTCTCCATAGCCTCAGGCAGCTGACTCATCCACTGTTATAACCCCCGCTTAGGTGAATTGAAGCTTTTATACCATGACTGGTCAATGCAGGAGTACAGAGGCCTTGTTCCAATTTGGGAAATCTTCGATGAGTTTTTTTAGCGCCAGAGCTCCCCACGAGTGAGGCTGAAGCTTCTGTTCTGCATCCCAGTTCAGCTTTCTCCATAGCCCAGTCGTGATTTTTCTTACTCCACCATAGATGTTTTTTTCAGATAAACAATCCTCAATCCACCTTCGGTATGCAAATTTCCATCTCAGTGTCTGTCTACTGGGGGAACGCAACCTAAGACAGAATATCGAAAAAATAGAAAGGCATACTATGTTTTATTAATGAAAAGATTTAACATCATTAATATGTCCATTGTGATTGAGTTTATTTTTAAGTTTAATGCTGACCCAATAAAAATTTAGATAAATTTATATTTAATTAGACAGGGCAGTTCAAAAGTTCATATCAAATAAAGAAATAAGCAAGAATAGCCAGGATTATGCAAAGATGAGGTTAGTTGATTCAGGTCATCCTATATGTCAGAATATGTACTTTCTCCAACTTCACAACTGTTAAACAATCATCTGTAGAAAAGTACTTTTTCTTCACAATCTGTTTTTAAATCACGTTTGTCTCATATTGGGGCAAAATAGCCAGATATAACCAGACAAAATATCAATGACAGGGAATTTTTATAGTGTAGTGAAATTATGAAAGAATTTATCTATCACCAAGATGTTTTATATCAAATTTATGCCCTTATTACCACTGAACTCAATCTAGTGTGCTGTACATTTTATAAACTTATAGCATAAACATATTTATGGCTGAGAATTGATTTATTAATACTAATTTTTTGCTCATAGTAATATGTTCTACAATGTTAAAGTAGTTACATAAAATACACTGAATGGAGCCTCCATCATTAAGTTCAAGGAAAATATTAAGATGATCAACATCTGAGGCAAAGGTTTATGCAGCTCATCTGTACAGAAATTCAATTAGTAATTTTTTTCATGGTATATAGTTTCCTGTTTTATAGTAGCAGTAATAACCTTTAAGTAGTCTGTAAATGGCTGAAAATATCTGACCTGTACGCTCAGCTAAGAATGTACAGACTGTAACTTTATTTTGCTGTTTGATAATATTGATGGTTAGTTTCTATGATTTTCTTCACAGTGAAAAATGAATATTTGTTACATAGAAGACTGTCTACAAGTTCTATGGTATTTCAGACTGGATATTTCTGATGAGAATTTTGACTCATCACTAAAATGTTACTGGGAGTAAAGCAATTGCTATTTGTAATTGTTGTACAAGTTCCTTACACTGTCTTTTAATGCAAATATAATGTGACTATTTCAATAAAATCAACTGATAATATGAGGTGAGATAATTATTCTCTATAAGGCATCAACGTTTCTTATTACTTTTTTTATTATTATGCTTTAAGTTTTAGGGTACATGTGCACAACGTGCAGGTTTGTTATATATGTATACATGTGCCATGTTGGTGTGCTGCACCCATTAACTGGTCATTTAGCATTAGATATATCTCCTAATGCTGTCCCTCCCCCCTCCCCCCACCCCACAACAGTCTCCGGTGTGTGATGTTCCCCTTCCTGTGTGCCTGCGTTCTCACTGTTCAATTCCCACCTATGAGTGAGAACATGCGGTGTTTGGTCTTTTGTCCGTTTCTTATTACTTTTAAAAAGCTAAGACATCTTTTCCTTTGCCTCTCTCACTTCATATCCACTACTGGGACAGTTTGGAAAAAGATTGGAATGTACTTGCAAATCAATAGCTGCTCCAGCTGGAAAATCAGCACCTCTATAGATATCCTTGTGGGTGAAACTTTAAGAGTAAACTTTTACTAGGATGATGACTTTGACACCGCTATGCTGTTTTTTCTATTCAAGGGTAGTATTATGCTTTGTGTCAATCCGGTATTTCTTAGTACCCCATAACTTTCTGTTTCACTTACTGTCACTAATTCTTAACCAAGATTCTGCTTCAACCAAAAGAACTGATGGACTACTGACCTCATTTGATGCTAATTACCACCTCAGTGGTTCCCTTAACTGTCCCTATTTGTGTTCAAATACATCACTTCTTTCAAGAGCCAACTCCCAATTTATCTTCTTCCCACAAGACCTGCTTTAATTTTACCTTTTTAACAGCCTCCATACATTTTTTTCTTTTTTGCTCACATTTACATAGAATAAAGTTATGTAGAATTGAGTTCTACATAACTCAATGCTTCATGTTTTATCTATCCCATTTAAATTTAAGGAACATTATACAGTGTTTCCTTTTATCCATCTAAATAGCACAGTTATTTGCATTGTGGTTACCTAATACATACTGTTTAATTGTATATTTTTTCTAGAGATAATTTTTACTCTTCTTTACCTTGAGCTGATTTTCTTTACCTTGAGCAGAAATGGATTAAAGTTAAAATCAAATAATTATAAATTTCAGCTTGTTGAATAGGGTTAACCATAAAGGGATCAGGATTATTTTTAGCTACCCTGGCTCTACTGTCTGATCTCCCAGTGTGTTTCCCTAAACTCTTCCATTTTCAACAGCAGTTTGTGTCAGTGCACAAGATTTAAATGCTATATCAAAATAACAGCAAATGAAAAATAAGTGTAGTTGGCTTTGCAAATAGTTTTGTTACCATGTTTCTTTAAATTGAAGTAATTGTTAAATTTAGGACAGAAGATGAGCTAAATATAAAATGAAAAGCAATATGCTAGCTTAGCTAGTGGAGTTGTGCAAGGAGGCAGCAGTATTCACTGTGGCTCATTCAAACCAAATCACTTGATGCTCAGTCTCATAGGAAAATGGAGACTGTGATCTGGGAATTGTGGTTAAAGTGGCTGCTGCTGTGTGGGGAGTGCAGTTCTGGAACTTTAAAAGCCCATTGACTGCAAATAGTACATGTTCAAACACATTTGTTGAATAAATAATTGAATGAAAATGAATAAATAAATGATCTTTGTAGGTTTTGTTTCTCAGAGGGTCAACCGTGTCAGAGAAAACAGGAGCAAACATCTGCAATAATACAAGCTTAATGTTGAAAACCACATTTTAAAACATTAGCAGGCAGGTCAAAGCACATTGAACAACATTAAGAATAAATGTGCACATAGCACCTTTTCTGTCGTCATGTAATCTCCAGGCAACATATAAATATGACTATCTGCTCTCCCTTGAGAAAAAACCAGTAATTTCCTAATGCAGGAATCAATTTTGTTCTCCTGCCCTTTTCTGCCTTCTTTTCTTTCACATTCCAAAAATTTCACATAAAAGATCATTTATATATAAAAAATGAAATCAGTATGTTAAAGAGATATCTGCACTCCCATGTTCATTGCAGCACTATTCTGAACAGCCAAGATAGGGAAACAATCTATGTGTCCATCAATGGATGAATGGATAAAGTAAGTGTGGCATGTATACACAAAGGAATACTATTCAGCCTTTAAAAATAAGGAAATCCTGTCATTTGCAACAACATAGATGAATCTGGAGGAAATTATATTAAGTGAAATAAACCAGGCACACAGAGACAAATATATTGCACAATCTCACTTAAATGTGGAGTCTGAAACAGTGGGCTTCATGAAAGAAGGTACAATGGTTGTCCCAGGGGCTGGGAAAATGTTGGTCAATAATATAAAATTTCAGTCAGGTAGCAGAAACAAGTTCAAGAGATCTAGCCTGGTGACTATACTTAATTTTTGAAAATTGTTGAGAGTACTTTTGAAGTATTCTCAGCACCAAAAAATGATAAATATGAGAGATCATAATATGTTAACTAGCTCAATTTAGCCATTCCACATTGTATACATATTTATTTCAAAACAACATGTAAATAATAAATATGTACAAGTTTTAAAAATTTCCACTTTTATTTTAGATTCAGGGCATATACATGCAAGCTTATTATAAGGGTGTATTGCATGATGTGGAGGTTTGGTATTCTGTTGATCCTGTCACTCGGATACTGAGCATAGTACCCAGCAGAAAGTTTTTCAGCCCTTGTCCCCATCTCTCCCTACTTTCCTCTTTACTTCCCTCCTTTTAGAGTCCCCAGTGTCTATTGTTCCCATCATTCTGCCTGTGTGTACCCAAGATTCAGCTCCCACTTACAAGTGAGAACATGGGGTACTTGGTTTTGTGTTTCTGTGTTAATTTGCTTAGGATAATGGCCTCCATCTGCATCCATGTTGTTGCAAAGGGCGCGATTTTATTCTTTTTATGGCTGCATAGTATTTCATAGTGTATATGTACATTTTCTTTGTCCACTCTACCATTGATGGGCACCTAGATGGATTCCATGTCTTTTCTATTGATTTTATGTCTTTGGTGTGATGAACACATGAGTGCATGTGTCTTTTTGGTAGAATGATTTATTTTTCCTTTGGGTATCTACCCAGTAATGGGATTCCTGGGTCAAATGGCAGCTCTATTTTTAGTTATTTGAGAAATCTCCAAACTGATTTTCACAGTGGCTGAACTAATTTACAGTCCCACCAGCAGTGTAAAAGCATTCCTCTTTCTCCATAGCCTCACCAGCATGTGTTACTTTTTGACTTTTTATTAATAGCCATACCAAAGATGTGAAATGGTATCTCATTGTGGTTCTGATTTGTATTTCCCTGATGATTAGTGATGCTGGGCATTTTTTACATGTTTGTTGGCTGTTTGTATGTCTTCTTTTAAGAAGTGTCTGTTCATGTCCTTTGCCCACTTTTGAATGGAGTTATTTGTTTTCTTCTTGTTGATTTTTTAAAGTTCCTTATAGATTCGGGATAATAGCCCTTTGTTGGGTTCATAGTTTGTGAATATTTTCCCCCATTCTGTAGGTTGTCTGTTTAATCTGTTGATAGTTTCTTCTGTGAAGAAGCTCTTTACTTTAATTAGATCCCACCTGTCAATTTTTTTGTTGCAATTGCTTTTGAGGACTTGCTCATAAATTATTTGTCAAGGTTGATATTCAGAAGGATATTTCCTAGGTTTCCTTCTAGTATTTTTAGAGTTTGAAGTCTTACATTTAAGTCTTTAATTGATCTTGAGTGAATTTTCGTATATGTACAGCGATAGATCAGGGTCCGGTTTTATTCTTCTGCATAGGGATAGCCAATTTTCCCAGCACCATTTACTGAATAGGGAATCCTTTCTACATTGCTTATTTTTGTTAATCTTGTTGAAGATCAGTAGATTGTAGATATGGTGATTTATTTCTGAGTTCTTGATTCTTTCCATTGATCTATGTATCTATTTTTGGAATCAGCACCATGCTGTTTTGTTTACTGTAGCCTTGTAGTATAGTTTGAAGGTGGGTAATGTGATGCCCTTGGCTTTGTTCTTTATACTCAAGATTGCTTTGGCTATTCCGGCACTTTTTTGGTTCCAAATAAATTTTAAAATAGTTTTTTCTAATTCTTTGAGAAATGATATTGGTGATTTGATAAGAATAGCATTTAATGTGTAGATTGCTTTGGGCAGCATAAATATTTTAACAATACTCATTTTTCCAATTCATGAACATGGATTGTTTTTCCAGTTGTTTGTGTTGTCTCTGATTTCTTTCAGCAGTCCTTTGTAGTTCTCCTTGTAGAGATCTTTCACCTCCTGAGTTAGCTGTCTTTCCAAGTATTTTATTATTTTTGTAGCTATTGTAAATGAGATTGTGTTCTTAATTTGACTTTCAGCTTGAATGTTTTGAGTGTAAAAAATGCACTAATTTTTGTAGTTTGATTTTGTATCTTGAAATTTTACTGAAGTCATTTCTTAGGTATAGGAGCCTTTTGGTGGAGTCTTTAGGGCATTCTATGTATAGAATCATTTCCTCAGTAAAGACAGATAATTTGATTTCGTCTTTTCATATTTGGATGTCTTTTATTTCTTTCTCTTGCCTGATTGCTCTGGCTAGGATTTCCAATAATATGTTGAATAGGAGTGATGAGATTAGGCATTCTTGTCATATTCCAGTTCTTAAGGAGATGTTATCAACTTTTGCCTGTTCAGTATGAGATTCGCTATAGGCATGTGACAGATGGCTCTTATTATTTTGAGGCATGTTTCTTTGATGCCTAGTTTGTTGAGGGTTTTTTTTTTTAATCATAAAGAGATGTTGGATGTTATGGAAAGCTTTTTTGTGTGTGTCTATTGAGGTGATCATATAGTTCTATTTTTAATTCTGTTTATGTGGTGAATCACATTTATTGGTTTGCATATATTGAACCAGCCTTGCATTACAGGAATAAAGCTCATTCGATAGTGGTGAATTAACTTTTTGATGTGCTGCTGAATTCAGTTTGCTAGTATTTTGTTGAGGATTTTCATATCTGTGTTCATTAGGGATATTGGCCTGTAGTTTTCTTCTTTTGTTGTGTCTTTGCTGGAGTTTGGAATCAAGATAATACTAGTTTCTTAGAATAGGTTAGAAATAAACTTCTCCTTCTCATTTTTTTTTTTAGAATATTTTCAGTAGGTTTGGTACCTGCTCTTTTTTGTATGTCTCATAGAATTTGTCTGGGAATCCATATGGTCCAGGGCTTTTTTATTTTTTTCTTGGTAGGTTTTTCTATTACTGATTAAATTTTGGAACTTGTTATTGGTCTGTTCAGGGTTTCTATTTCTTCCTGATTCAATATTGGGAAGTTGTATGTTTCCAGGAATTTACCCATTCTTCTAGATTTTCTCATTTGTGTGCATAGAAGTGTTCACAGAAGTCTCTGAGAATATTTTGCATTTCTGTGGGCTCAGTTCTAATGTCACATTAATCATTTCTGGTTGTATTAATTTGGATCTTCTCTCATTTTTTCTTGTTAATCTTGTTAGCAGCCTATGGATCTTATTTATCCTTTCAAAAAAGCAATTTTTCATTTTTTATCAATCCTTTGTATGGTTTTTTGAATCTCAATTTCATTTAGTTTAGCTCTGATTTTAGCTATTTCTTTTCTTCTGCTAGCTTTGTGATTAGTTTGTTCTTGTACCTTTAGGTGCAATATTATGTCATTAATTTGAAATCTTTCTAACTTCCTGATGTAGACATTTAGTGCTATGAACTTTTCTCTTAACGCTGCTTTCCCCATATCCCAGAGATTTTGGAATGTTATTTCTCTGTTTTCATTTATTTCAAAGATTTTTTAAAATTTCTGCCTTAATTTGGGTATTTATCCAAAAGTCATTCAGGAGCAAGTTGTTTAATTTCTGTTATTGTGTGGTGAGATCCTCTTGGTATTAATTTCTATTTTGATTCCACTTTTGTCTGAGTATATGCTTGGTATAATTTTGCCTTTTTTGAATTTATCAAGAGTGGCTTTATGGTTGAGCATGTGGCTTATCTGAGAGTATGTACTGTGTGCAAATGAGAATAATGTATATTTTGTGGTTATTGGGTGGAGTATTCTGTATATGTCTATTAGGTCCAATTAGTCAAGTCAATTATTCCAGAATTTCTTTGCTAGTTTTCTGCCTTGGTGATCTAACTCTGTTAGTGGGGTGCTAATGTTCTCCACTACTATTGTCTGGCTGTCTTAGTCTTTTTATAGGTCTAGCAGTACTTCTCTTATGAATTTGGGTGCTCCAATATTGGGTGCATATATATTTAGGAAAGTTAAATTCTTCTTGTTGAATTGAAACCTTTACCATTATGTAACAACCTTCTGTATCCCCCTTTTTTTTTACACTATTGTTAAAGTCTGTTTTATCTGATACAAGAATAGCAACCCCTGCTCTACTTTGTCTACTTTGTTTTCTATTTGTGTAATTGATCTTTGAGCCTATGGGTGTCTTACATGTGAGACAGGTCTCTTGAAAACAGCACAAGTTTAGGCCTTGATTTTTATCCAAATTGCCACTCTGTGTCTATTAAGTGGGACATTTACCTTCAAGGCTGCCGAGACCAGCTCAGTCAGGGAGACCCTAACCCAGCAGCGCTAGAGGAATTAAAGACACACACACAGAAATATAGAGGTGTGAAGTGGGAAATCAGGGGTCTCACAGCCTTCAGAGCTGAAAGCCCTGAACAGAGATTTACCCACGTATTTATTAACAGCAAGCCAGTCATTAGCATTGTTTCTATAGATATTCAATTAACTAAAAGTATCCCTTATGGGAGACGAAGGGATGGGCAGAAATAAAGGAATAGGTTGGGCTAGTTACCTGCAGCAGGAGCATGTCCTTAAGGCACAGATCACTCATGCTATTGTTTGTGGTTTAAGAATGCCTTTAAGTGGTTTTCTGTCCTGGGAGGGCCAGGTGTTCGTCACCCTCATTCCTGTAAACCCACAAACTTCCAGCGTGGGCATTATGGCCATCATGAATATGTCACAGTGCTGCAGAGACTTTGTTTATGGCCAGTTTTGGGGCCAATTTATGGCCAGATTTTGGGGGGCCTATTCCCAACACAAGGGTAATATTGATATATGAGGTTTTGTTTCTGTTGTGGTGGTGTTAATTGGTTGCATTGTAGTCTCAATTGTGTTGTTTTATTAATAGGGTCTGTGGCATATGTACTTATATTTGTTTTTTTGATAGCAGGTATATTTCTTTTGTTTCCATGTTTAAAACTCCCTTAAGCCTCTCTTGTAAGGCTGGTCTCATGGTAAAAAATTCCCTTAGTGACTGCTTGTCTGGGAAATATTTTCTTTCTCCTTCACTTATAAAGCTTAGCTTGGCCGATATGAAACTCTTGGTTAGAATTTATTTTCTATAAGAATGCTAAAAATAGGCCTCTACTCCCTTCTCACTTGTAAGGTTTCTGCTGAGAAATCCACTGTCAGTCTAATTGGGTTCCCTTTTTACACTATGTAACCCTTTTCTCTAGCTGCCTTTCAGATTTTTTCTTGTGTGCTGACCTTGGAAAATCTGATGACTGTGTGCCTTAAAATGTTTATCTTGTAGAGAAGCTTGCAGGGGTTCTCTGATTTTCTTGTATTTTCATGCTGACCTCTATTGTGAGATTGGGAAAATTTTCATGGATTATATCCTCAAATATGTTTTCCAAGTTGCTTACTCTCTCTTTTTCTCTGTCAGCAATGCCAGTGAGGCATAGAGTTGGTTGATTTACATATCCCATAACTCTCGGATGCTTTGTTCATTTTTTAAAGTGTTTTTTCTTTATTTTTGTCTGACTGGGTTGATTTAATGGACCAATCTTTGAGCTCTGATTTTTTTTTTTTCTTTCTGCTTGGTCTAATCTTTTGCAAGGACTTCTAATTTTGTTTTCAAATTTCTGTAGTTAATTTTTCAATTCCAGAAGTTTACTTTGTTTTTTTTCTTAATGTGGCCATGTCATCTTTTAAATGTTGAATCTTTTTTTCTGGGTTCATTAAATTGGATTTCAACTTTCTCTTGCATCTTGTTTAGCTTCCTTGTCATCTAGATTCTGAATTCTATTATTGTCATTTCAGACATTTCAATCTGGTTAGGATTCATTGTTATAGGGTGAGTGTGATCCTTTAAAGTTAATGAAACACTCTGGCTTTTTGAATTACTGTAGTTCTTGAGCTGATTTCTTCTTATCTGAGGGAACTGCTGTTTCTGTTTCTGTTTGAATTTGCTGTTACTTGGAAAGGTCTTTTTGTTTTTTATCTTATATCTCTTGAGGGTTTGACTGTGTGGATGTTGTTTATAGTCAATTGGTTTTGTTTCCGGGTACTTTCAGATGGCCATGTCTCTGCAAAGGTTCCTCGGTTGTAGATAGGATCCTGTGGTGGGTTTCAGATGTTTTGTGTGTTGGAGGAATGCATATTTGTTTGGTGGTATAATTAAGGCTTCAGTCCACTATATAGCATGTAAGAGTAAGGGCTAGCAGATAGGATGTTACTCAGTTGTGCACCCCTTTTGTTTTTCAGTGTGTGTACAGCAGTGCTCTGAGGAGGGGAGGCAGGAGAGTGAGAGATAAGTCCCTCTTAAGTCATTTTCCAGGCCTTGGTGATGTCCCCTTCAACTAATGGCACTGAGCTTACGTTCCCTTTGCCCCAAGAGGAGCTTTGGTGGGTTGCCCTCCTTCCTCTTTTAGGTGCAGTCACAGATGAGGGTTAGGTCACCAGGAGATCTTCAACTTGCCAGGTGTCCACTGGTCCCCTATGCTTGTGAGAGTCAGAGCAGGTTGTGAGGTTATGTCTGTTAGTGGTCTGTTGGTACAGTGGGTCAAGGGCAGACGATCCCTGGTCATGGCAGTATTACCATGGATATACAACTAAGAAGACAGCTGCAGCTTGGGGTTTTCAGCCTAGCCAACAGCTGTGGTGCCTGCCCAACTGATGCTCCCCCAACCCGACAGCTTTTCATCCATGTCCGCCCCAGGAACAGGCCCTACGATTTAGGCTTGTCCTAAGCCTTCTATGCCCAGGTTGCTGAGCCATTCCAGATGATCTGGGCCATAGAACCCCCTGGGGAAGGAACTGCGGCTGGCTGTTAGGCCCCACTCTTTCCAGACCAGTCTTGTGGAGGGAGGGATGGCAAGTTCCTGCACCGGCACACAAACCTGCACCTCACTCCTCTCTCTTCTGAGAGTGGGGGCTCCTCCTTTGCTTGAGTTCTGGCCCCAGATCTCAACTTGATACCCGTGGGTGGTGTGCTCAATTCCTGAGGAGTTGGTACTGGGCCCATGGATTTGTTCTCCGGCCCCTGGGGGTTGGGCACTGGCTGTGCTGGAGGGGCTGAACTGCTTCTAGGCCACCAGCCAAAAACTCAGGTGGTATGGGAGTAGTGGGGGTGGGAGCTGTGCTGTGGACACCATCCTGTTAGAGTGGCCAGACAGGCACTCTTAGGAGGGGCCAACCAGTGAGGAAACTCATCGATTGGATGCACCACAGTCCTGCAGCAATGGCAACCCTGCTGTCTTCTGGCCTGGTAGAGAGCAGAAGCTGCAGCCACTGAGTGAAAGATCAGGGGTTTGTGGGGATGGGTGCCTTACGGTGCTGTTTTGTTGCAGCTGTACTGAGCAGTGAAACCTTCTGGGTTCTGCCAAGGTTTGAGCTGTGCCTCTGCCTGATCTCCAGGTGGCTCCATATGCCAGTTTAAATGTCTATGGGGGTTGTGGGAATGCCACTAATTAAGACCCCAAAGGTCTGCAGTGAGAGTGTGGTGCTACAGAGTTCCTTCATTTAGCCCTTCCTTAGGTCCAGTTCAGGGCCAGAGGCCAGTCCTGGCACTTGGCATCTCTGAGCAGGCTTCCCAGTTTCTTCCTTCTTCAGCCACAGTGTCTGCATCACCTCCCTATTGATTTTCAGTGTTTTCTCTCAAAAGATCTGTTTGAAGTGTGATGATTTACTTGAAATTTTGGTTCCTCTCAGTAGAAGAGGCATTTTCTGGCTACATCTAGTCAGCCCTCTTGCCCCGGCAAATGCACATGCAATTTTTATTTGTCAATTAAAATTAATTAATTAAAAAATATTAATATACTGACAGCAGACTTTTAAATACAAGTACACAGCTAAATGCATCTTTATTTGAAAGCTTTCTTTAGCATAAAGCTAAACACTGATCTATTTTGTATCAAGCTGATATTGAAATGGAAACAAGTATTTGAGGTCACAAAATGAAACTGAGTTTGTTAACTTATATTTCCAGACTTTATATATTTCTTTCTTTCTTTTTTTTTGAGGTGGAGTCTTGCTTTGTCACCCAGGCTGGAGTGCAGTGGCGCCATCTCATCTCACTACAACCTCTGCCTCCTGGGTTCAAGCGATTCTCCTGCCTCAGCCTCCCGAGTAGGTGGGACTACAGGCGTGCGCCACCATGCCCAGCTAATTTTTGTATTTTTAGTTGAGACATGGTTTCACCATATTGGCTAGGCTGGTCTCGAATTCCTGGCCTCAGATTATCCGCCCGCCTCGGTCTCCCAAAGTGCTGGGATTACATGCTTGAGCCACTGCGTCCGGCCAGAATTTATATATTTCTTAAGCTCTATGAATAAAGTTCTGTCAGGCACTATGGATTGATTTGAAAAGTAATATATTGAAATACCTGTCCTTAAAGAGAATGCCATCTAAATAGGGAAAGAGCACACATACATGATAATAATTAAACATGTATATGTGATCAAAATTATAATAGAAGCCAGTGAATAAATTCCATATAAGTGAAACAAATAACACAAAAGCACAATTGCAGCTGATTTGTAAGAAGGATGATATTTCGTAGACAACTCATAGAAGGCTTGTGCCTTTCAGAGTAAAAATACTCCCTGCAAACAAGAACTGTAAGTTAGTCTCCTTTAAACACTATTTTGGCATATAAATAACAATATCAACTGTAGTTTCTCTGAATGAAAAAGGGCTTATGTATGAGGCATATAAGAACAATAGCATGATGGCAAAAATAATCATTCCTACTTACATGTCATGAAGTCCACACTTGGTCAGAAGCATAAATGTCAATGTAATTTTTATGTTGAACAAGCACAACTCAGGGAGTGTAATCCAAAAATGACTTTATATTAGTTTCCTTTTTCCCTTTAGATTTATCTCTGGGACAACTATTTCTCTGTCCTTGGCAGGCCTCATGGCATTTTCTTAAATAATAATAATAAATATAAAATGTCTTACAGTCAAGTTAAACCACAAAACAGTCTCAGTTCAGTAATTAGAAAGATCAGTAACAGGTAATTTTCAAAACTCAAAATTTCTTTACAATTTGGACTCCTCTCCTTCCTCTGTAGCAGATGGGAAGTCTTACATCAGGGCAGGAGAGCTGGTTTCTCTTCTCTTACCCCATCTAAGGCTTATATGCTCCTCTCACCAGCTTGTTCACCATAGTAATTTCTGACCACTTAGAGCTGGTGTTTGGGGAGGGAAGAGATTAAAGAGGTCAGAAAATGTCCTACTGGATTCACACTGGCATTAATTGATGTTGGTGCTTTCTGAACACTGAAGATGTTTCCGGCAATAATTTTGTGTCTGTCTCTCATCCAGGCATGTTTATGGCTTCTTTGGATAATTCCCCTCTTTCTTAGAATTTTTCCCTGGAAGTTCATTTGGAATGGTCAAATGCTTCTCCATTTTGGCTTGATAACTTACTGCCTCCTCTACTTCTAAGAATCTAGTCATACCTCTAGCCTCTCCTGTTTTTCTTTCCAGTTTTTTTTCTCTAGGTATCCTTCTTGGATAGTACTTAGGGAAAACCATGTGAACCCTTTTTCAGACAAGGCCCCTATAGCCCAAGAGAATCACTGACACATCTGTGTGTGGGAAGTGGTTAAGAACTATATGTTGAACACTTTTCTCTTAGTCCATTCAGGAAAACAAAATATCTTAGACTGGGTAATTTATAAAGAGTAGAAATTCAATGCTTATGGTTCTGGAGGCTATGAAGTCCAAGATCAAAGCATCAGTGCATTCAGTGCCTGGTGAGGGTTCACTTTCTTCAAAGATAGTAACTTCTTGCTGCCTTCTCACATGGCAGAGGGGTGAACAAGCTTCCTCAGACTTCTTACATAATGACACTAATCCCTCGCAAAGGCCCCACCTTCCAACACCTTCCAGCTTTCCAACACCACTGTACTGAAGATTGTTTCAACCTAAGAATTTTGGGGGTTGCGGGGGTGATGAGGACACACTTAGACCAAAGCAATCTCTGTTGGAAAATTTTCACTTCATCTAATCCTTCTTGTGGAGGGATTATCTTTGAGCCATAGCTGATATTTAACATTTTAACATCTTTTTGTATCAGTATAGTAAGCAAAGAGAGTAAGCTATATAACTTTAATCAAATTAGTTAACTTCCAAACTCCAGCCTTGTACTCTTTTTGTTTGGAAGATTAATGATAATATTTATGTATAGTACTTAGAACAAGGCCTGTTTCATAGTAAGTGACCAATACATGAGAGCTATTATTATTTATTATTTGTGGAAACATTATATTTGAGATGAAGAAAAATATGCATTTTTACATACACCCTCTGAAGATGTGTCATTCTTGTAATTGTTAGCATACCCTAAGATTTTAAAATAAGAAAACATGTCTAGTGACTTGAATATTTGCTGAAATGTTTGTTTTCTGCTGTACAAGATTTGAATGCCTTCAATATTTTATTCAGCCCCTTAGTACATATTTTCCTCTTTCTTTTCTAACTGCTCACTGTATTTGAGGGAGAAAAGGAAGGGGCTTTATTAAAATGCTCTGATGTATATGTCCTTTCCTAACATTACTTTTTACAGGAAAAATATCTTTTGGTGATAGAAACAGAGTGGTGTGAGTAGGGCAACAGTAAATCTGTCCTAAAGCCACTTTCCAACTGTAAATCATCATTACAGGGGATTGGCTTTCTGCTCATGGTGACACTTTACCCAGTGAAGTGACCAGAAGGATTGGAAGCGATTTCTATAATATCAGCCTCTGGCATGATTCATTTCTGCTCTCATCTCAGCAAGTGGAAGCTTAGTTTCTCTGATACTGAGGATCAAAAGATGGCAGCCTCACTACAATGAAATCTCCAGATATTGCTATATCTCCCACATTGTCAGGTTCCATTAGATAAAATATATTTTGAAGCAATTATTTGGTTTTCATCAATACTGCCTTAAATGAAATCTATTTTTCATTCTTAGCTTATAGGTCTGATAGCCATAAAACATAAAAAAAAACCCTAATTATTTAAATTACTAAGAATTCACAAAAATACATATAAGTAACTTATATGCTTATTTTTTATACTGAGATGAATAATTTTAAACTAAAATTGGCATAAAATATCAGTTGAATATCAATAATTTTTATTTTAATTTAAACTTTTTATTATAAAATAAAATACAGATCTGGAAAACCAAATGTGCAGCTTAATGACTTAATTTAGGTGAATACCTCTTCACCACCACCCAGGTCAACAATGAAAAATTTCTTCAGCCTTTGTCCCTGTATGTGCCTTATCCTTATTTCACCTCCTACCTCTTCCAGAAGTAACCACTATCCTGACTTTTACAGCAATTACTTCCTTGAATTTTAAAATAGTCTTATCATTTAAGTGCATGTTCCAAGAGGGTATAGTTTAGTCTTTTCCAGTTTTGCACTTGATGATTTAAAATTTTCTGTTAATCTACAATTTACCCTCTCACTTTCTTTTCCTTGTCATTTATTTTCTGAAGGATACAAACCTTTTCTCTGCAGAGTTTCAAAGCCTGAATGTTGCTGATTATAAACTCTAGATGATTCAACCTGTCTTCTGTATTTTCTAAAATTTCGCAGCTGAATCCAGGGGATTTATCAGAATCAGGTACTAACCCTCTGACAAGATTTTAGGTGTCTTTTTTTAGGAGAGCAAAGTGTCTGGATGTTTCTTTTTCTGTGATTTCTATAGCTGTTAATATTCAATGCCTAGATTAATTAACTTGTGGGGTTGCAAAATTTGATTATATTCAAATTCCATAAATTCTTTTTCATTATTAGCTAAAATACCTTAAAAAGGAGATGGTTTCTCTCATTTGCTGTTTGGCTACCCAGTGCTTCAGTTTATATAAAAAAGCAGAATAATTGCTTAATTTTTAAAATCAATGATTAAGAAAATTAGATTCTTATTATCCTCCAAATGTAGCCATTTCTTTTTTCTAATACTTAGTATTAGCAATTTATAGTTTTAAATATTTGGATGAGTTTCACCCAGTTCTAATTATTATCACCATTGAAGCTCAAATTGTTTCACCTTGGACTGGTGGGAGACTTTTCAGTTTCACTATGGCGTTATTTTGATACAACTCTATTAGATTTTTGATAGTTCCCTTGCAATCTAGTATGACAGGATGCTCCGGTTTTATGTAACTGTAACTGCCATTTTCTCACCAGCTCTGGGTTCTTTTAGTGTAAAATGGTACTTCAAGACCACAGTATGCAGCCACCAGTGTTACTGTTCACAGTTGTTTGTTTTTTGTTTTTAAATCTTTTTAGTGGGCAGAGATAGGATATGTGGGTGTGTGTGTCTGTTTGTGACTCATAGGTTCATATAGCTACTTATAATTCAAATTCAGCACTGTAGAGTTTTTTGAATTTAATCACTTTTTAATTACATCTATATTTCCTTTCTGCCATGCCAAAAAGCCTGGTTCTTAAATATATAGGGGATGATAGAATGTTTCATTCTACACACACAACAGTATCAAAATAACAATACTAATACTACTGTTAATAATATGTAATTGAAAGCATATAAATAATTTCTTGCATATACTCTTATTACCACTTCTATCTTTTATAATTATAGTTGTTTTTAGCATAACATTTACTAGAATTTTTTTCTAGTACACAGATAAAAAACACACAAGCTTGCATGCAACGGTGTTCCCCAATCGATACACTCTAGTTGATATTTTAAAAATAATAGAAATGAAAAATGTAGAGCACAGAATTATTTTTACTTTTAAACTCATTACATTTCAAAAATCAACGAGGTACGATTCCTTTTCAAAAGCTCTCACAACAAATTTATGAGAAATGTTTTTGTTCATGTTGAAAACTTAAAAGGAACCATATGAGTATTTCATTTACTTTTTTACTCTTTGCATTAAATATATACAGACAGGATGTCCTATGTGTCATTTTTGAATGACACCACATATTTGTAAAAATAGACAAACAATGAGATGCGTGAATACCTTAAAAACTTGTTACTGAGAGCATAGATGAATAAACATCGCCTTACGTGTCTTTTCTTTTGATTTTTGAGCCTAGTGTATTTGTTAAGTAGAGACAGCTTCCATTTGACATTCTGTAGTTTTTCTTAAAAGCCATCATCAACTCCTATTAGTTGCAGTAGGCTTGTAATAAATGCATATCTCAGACAATTGCCTTACTTTCAAAAAGTATAGCAGTTGTAAATGGGTTCTACCTAGTGATCCTATCTAGTGAATATCATCTTATAGTTGTGTCTGTAATACAGAAAAAGAAATTAGATTTTGATATCCCTTTCTATCCTAAAGTATTCCTAAGTGGGTAAGAAAATATTATAAATCAGAAAGTTTTCTTTGCAATGCCCGGATGTTACCCATACATTTTGTGTGGTTTTTCTCTGTGTAAGAGACTCCATTTTTAAAGAAGTTGCTCCATTTTACTAGTGTTGCCTATAATGTATTTTCGTGTTTACAAATTATGGCCAGCATAGATTACGCTAAATGTTTCCTCTTTGATGACAACTGATAATTAGAAAGACCCTTATTACTTCTAAAGAGAAAATATTATCTCTAATTGGAGAAGTTTGAGACATCAGTAAGGTAAGAATAACCTAGTTTGCACACTACTTTATTTAAATTGAAATGGGTTAAAAGTGAGCATTTTTTTGCTCATTTTTCCCCAAAAAGTGCAAACTACTTATTTTTTCTTTTCATATTGCCACTGCCTGAAGAGTCCCATAGTCTCATTAATGAGATCACACTCTTTCCTATATTCTTTTTCAACAAGGTAATTTTGATGCCCGGCCAACTTCAGACAGCAATTTGAAAGTTGACTTCTTCACTTGAGGGCTGATTTCTGAGATCCTAATGTGTCTCAAAGTTTAGCTCATTGTAGATGAAGCCATTTCCTCAAACATGGGGATTACCCAGGAAAACTATGAGCTTTGGAATCACAAGGACCTTAGTTTAAATCTTGGCTCAAAGCCTCTCTAGGTGACCTAGGGCAAATTACCTTCCTTCCTGGTTCTCGGTTGCCTCATGTATAAAATAGACATAATAATATCATATGTACGGTGTGGTTCCTAGATTTGGAGTTTAGCATACTATATATTTTGAACATTTTATAAATGTGCCCAATCTTTTGTCATATGTAAAAAAATATATCTGCTAAGGTAAATAAAGGAAATATATATGATTTGAAAAATCTCCTTAGATGACTTCAATATTCTTCTACTACTCTTAAAGACTCAATACCTTAAAGGTTTCAGTAATTTTAGCCTCTTCATTAAGAAAAGTAAACATGCCAGGAAATCATGACTGAACAACTATGCAAATCAATCTCTTGGATATAAGGCACCACACCAAAAGACTAAGTTTAAATTAACGGTAATTCTCATGGGTATCTTATTTGTTTAAATTAATTAACACATTTATTTATTACCTATATACATTATATATATATTTAAAAATCTTAATAGGATTCATTTAAATGTCACCAATGCTTTTAAAAGGAAGCTGCATGATTCTGTTTTATAGAAGAATATTTAAAAGTAAAGTATTTCTTATGTAAAGAACTGATTTATTGTTTTCACTTTAAGAAAACGCTTATATTAGAAAATGTAAACTTACAGAAATTGAGATTTTTTTTAAAAGCAAAGACTTACTGGGTAGGAAGACTACACATTGATATTATGCTAATGAGAGACTTGAATCACTGACACCTGCGTTGCTTAGTGGGACACAATACCGATTCAAGGTCTCTGTCCTTTTGTTGATTTAAAACGTTATCCTTGAAATAGCAATGTTATAAATATTAATAAAAATACTAAGAGCTTGGCAAGCGGATTCTAAGAAGACTAATGACTTCCAGTTAAATATCAAGACATTATTCTAACAGACCTTTTACTAGGCAACAAAGATGGAACAACACTGTAAGCCCTTCATAAAGGTCTTGATAACCATTCAATTGAGACAAAAATTACATCAATTATTTGACCTAAATAGACTGACTGATGTTCCTGAGTGAATGAATCAGCCTTTGGTTATCATTTCACAATACCAAAAACTAGTCTGGCTAGTTATTTTGACTCCTTTAATTGGTTGTTTTTCTAGTTGGTGTGTGTATGCACATACATGCACACACTTCCTAAAATGTGTGAGAACCAATAACTCATATCAGTTCACTCTCAGGCAGTCTGATGTATGTCAGCAAATATTCAAAAACATAACACTGGGCAAAAGTAAGATAAATAAAGATATTTAGATAAAAATACCATTTTATTGTTCATTTATCAAAACTATATTTACTATTGTTAATGGATGCAAATATACATAAATAATAGAAAGAAGGCACATTAAGGGCACAAGACTTGTGCCGAAGAAATAGTGAGGTAAGTAGATGGGGAAAAACAAGAGTTCATGTTGTGGACAATTGTGGTGGTGTGCTGTAAGATGCAGAGTGAGATCCATCACAGTAATCCTACGTTAGAAACTAAAATCTAGATGTTTCTAATTTATTTTTGTGTTAGAGTATGGGCATTTTTCAAATTGATTTGAACCTATTCAGCATATAACATGACACAATTTTCTTCTATTCTTCCTGTGTGAAGTTGAATGTTGAGGATGTAGGATTGAAGAGAACATCACATTTCCAGTTGTTCCCTCCAAATCCTTTTAATATAAGCTGGCTATCAGGCCGAATTATGCTACATATCCTGGTTAACCCAAATGTCTATGTTAGTGAGGAAAGTTTTCTTACTTCATTAAAATTTGTGTTATAAATGCCTTCCACCACTAATGAATTTTGGCGAAAATTCTATAGTTGGGACATCAACTTAGCTTCTTTATTAAAACAATAATTAATATAACATATTTTGCCTGGCAAACATAAAATAGAAAAAAGTATAACCAATATTTTAGAAATGCATTAGGGAATCAGACACATAGAGAATTCTCAGTGTGATAGTTTGTAAATAGTTATTTTTGTGAGAACTTCCAAAGATTAATGCAAATCCATGAAAGATTAACGATGTTCTGATTTGTTTCAAAATCAGGAAATCTCAACAGTCCAACTTGTCAATTTGACTTCTCTATACTCATATTCTAAGCCATTGAGTGTTTATGTGATTACCTTAAACTCATTTTGTTTGTGATGTACATATTAATCTGTAGCTGTTTGTATGAAACACCAGCTTTCAAGGGCCATTTTTTTTTCTTCCTTTAAGCCTGGTGTTTTGAGTACAGTACAAAAGAAGTGGAATGAAATTGTAGCTTATTCATGTATATGCATTCATTTCACATAGAGGTCTTCCTCTGAGATTGATCAAATCAAGTAAGAGAAAATTCTCTGTAGTCAACAAAATACACAGTACATGTCTCTGTTTCTTGTCAAGCACCTCAGATCTGCATGTGAAGATGACTTAAAACCCTATTAATAGACTTCCAGAAAGAAAGAAAACAGCATGAGTAAAAAAATTGTAAATAATTGCCCATTTCTATAGCAAAGTTCAAACTTCTCTCTTGAAATGGTGAACCAACTCAAATAACATTAGGAAATGTCCTTGTTTTGGGAATAATTAATGGCCCTGTACTTTATTCAGTGTTTGCTATGTACAGTCATATAGGAAAATAAAATGTTAAAAGGTCAAAGGCTAAAGTTGCAGTAAAATGTGTACAGCAGATTTACTTGTGTTAAGTTTTTGTTTAGAGAAAGTGCTAATTTTTATTTCACATGTTATTTGTATTGTGCAGAACAAAGAAAAAATACATTTTTTAAATAATTTAGGAGCTCTAGTCCTTTTTTAGGGAAAAGCTTTAAGCTATGTCAAACCTATTGGGGTATCTTTTATTTAATATACTCAAATGACTGTTAGTTTTACATTTCAAGCTTTAAGGTGGGTAGGTATTAAAATAATGTTTATCACTAATGACCCATCAACAACAACAAAAATCCACGATACATAGTTATGCACAAATATTCCAAATTATTTAAATATAAATAGTATGCTAGAAAGTATTGTACAATGTAGGGAAATATTAACATTATTGTTACGTCAACAGTTGATGATAGCAATTGACTAGAGAAACGGCTTGCCCAAGCTGTGCTTTTTTTGAATGCAATTTCAGTAATATAGAAGTGCATATTCTAAGAAATATGGGAAAATGTATGAAATTGTTACATAAACTGCTTTGACTAAAGTAGAGATTGTGATGAAGTATAATCTCCTCAAGTAAACAGTTATTATGTTAAGAATGGAGAAGTAATCACACAATTTAAATGTTTTGCTTTGGCAGTTCCACTCATATTTTCCAACCCTGCGTTTCCCTAAGGTGATGCATTCCTGCTGGTCTGCAGCTTACAGAAACAGGCAAGGGGCCAGTACATACAGGAATCAAAATCTGCGTAGAAAATATTGCATTTTTAGAAAGCAGCTAAATGCACCTAGGTCCAATTTTGTTACTTTGACTGAAAGGACCATCAATGGAAATTAAGTTCAGATGAGACATATCAGTTGACTGGAAAGATTTCTGTGACATAAATCACACTGTGCAACAGATATCAGCCCAAGAACCGCCTTTTGAAACATGAAAGGAGAGAAAATTATTGCAGAACCCACAGGTTAAATTTCCACATAATTCTCTGGATGCTTGTGAAGCAGGCTAAGCATATTTCTCCAAACCTCTATACTGCGTTCTTGTCCTCAAGCCCTCAGTTCATAGTCTTTCAGCTCTGCATTAGATGGATGTCAAAATTTACTCACACTAAAGTAGTTAAGACATAACTATGAGATAATATCTGTATTAAAATATCTCCTTAAATATCTTATGCATCCCCAAAAATATATAAGAAAAAAAGTACATGTGCATCCCAAATAATAGTTTTTCTTTCATTTCAGTACTTAACTGATTTTCTTTAGAATGTTTTGGGAATTTCATCCAGAACCTGGCATATATGTTTTTAAATGATCTTAAGTGGTGGTAAAAATTGAGTCTTAAGGGTAGAATTTGATTCTTGAGAGCAGAATTGAACTTGCTGAAGCTTTGTGATGTTCTTCTGATTCACGAGGAAAGAAAAAAGAATGTTGATGATTTTATTTTGCAGCTTAGACACTAGTCCTAAAGGCAGTTCCCAAAGAAGTTTCCAAAAACATTTTGAGTAATCGAAACATTTGTGGAACAAGCCTATGGACTTCCTGTGTGACTGCTTGTAAAACAAGATGATGTGCTTGTCTTAGAATTCTTTGGTGTTTTCAAATCTCTCTAACAGAAAATTTCCGTTGCCCAGGTGTTGGGTTTATCACCTGGAAGATATGCTGATTCTCTGTTTGTTAAACTGTCATTCACATACACCACATGAGATTATATCTTTAACTTGTCAGGAAACTACTGAAGCATGTTATAGCTGCTTTAGTGGTAAAGAAAGAATTCAGTCAACAAAGTATTTTTTAAAAACTTATTCATTATTAGCATGAAGTCAGACATCTTGAGTCCAAATTTCAATTCCATTCATTTCTGGGCAATTTACCCCAATGTTCTTGGCTTTATTTTCTTCATCTATAAAATGGGGATAATAATTACAACTGTCTCTGAAGATTGTGCTGACAGAAAATTAAATCATATGAAATATTCAATCTTGACATGTAAAAAGCATTTAATAAATATCAGATATGCTTGTTGCTTTTGTGGTGATACTTTCTAAATGACACAATTTAAAGCATTGTTCCTTCCACTTGGCTTTTAATTTTGGTAACATAATGCTTTTAGTTAAAAATGCAGAAATTACATTCAGATTTGATAAAGGCTTCATGAAGAATTGAGAAATAAATTTGAGGCAGAATAGTAATTTCTATCAAGACTCTTAGATACTTGAGCCTGGCCTTTACTGAAACTCCTGCTATCATTTAATGTTTTGGTTATCGCCCATCTGAGAATCTCTCATGTAACTGAGGGTCACTCCTTCAAATCAATATGAAGAAGCACAATTCTAAAGCATTTTTTTTCACATTTTTTCAGGTTTAGAAATAAGTATCAATGTGACTTCTCTCTTAAAAAGGGCTTTTGAAATATACTGCTTTGTTAACAGAAATTTTTATTCATATTCTGATTTTAATTGGAAGAACTCAAAATATACCATATTTTTATTTAAAAGATAATTTTTATATTCATTAGATGTCATGAGTATTAAACAGTTTTAAACTGTCACATAAATTTGATATGAAATTTATAAATTAAGAAATGGAAGATAAACATCTAAACTTACAAGTTAACCAGATAAGTTGTTTCATCAATTTAGGCTTCTAGGCTTGATGGTGCCCAAGCTTTTCTGGTGTATCTTGGCTTTTGAAATGTAGATACAACCTAAATAGTTCCTGAAGGAATGTAAAGGGATTACATAGTCTTAAATTTTTTATTTTCTGATTTAGAAGGTATTAGGAGATATTTTTTCCTGGATAAACATGACTGATTTAAGGGGTGGGAAGAGATGGTTGAAATTTAAAATAATTGTGTAATAACGATGTTTTTGAAAATTATTGGCAGAAGTAGATTTTCTTGATAATTGCATGATGTAGTGATATCTGTGAATGATTACAAACACAGAATACAGGAATTTATTGTCTTAGCTTTGGTTTCCCAGAAAGTAGAGTCTGAAGCAGAGGGCTTAACTGGTGCTAATCTAATGGGGTGTGGGTGGGAGGTGATCCCAGGAAGAGAAGTAAGGGACAAAGAAGTGAACAAGAGAGGAGGGAGAGTTAAAATGATAATGCATTATTTAGTTAGCTACCCCCAAGTACAACTGAGAGCTAGATCCCACAGCAATATTCCCAAGAATCCACGGAAGCTGTATCTCAAGACAATTCATCAGAGGAAAATAATGAATCATTTGTGAACCTGCTTCCTTCTCTTATTGGTCAAAGGTTCACCTCAAGAGTGTAACAGTTTATTCCTGGTTCCCAGGGGAGAAAATGAAAAGTTTATGACAACAGTCTGTGATAAAGCATGGTCAGGATATGCATGTGTGAAATGGCTGGGCCAAGAGACAGATGAGGCATTAATTTCTGAATTCTAAACATTCAGATGAAAAATTATCAACCATACTTATGCAAACCAGGGATTGCTCCTTGTTAATTTTTTAAAATGTAATTTATGTCACATTTTTTATGCCCAGTTTGAATTTTTTATGTACATATGATCTCTTCTAACCAGAATTATGGCTTTATGTAATAGAAACTCATCTGTAAAGGAGATTTATCATGAAGAACACAAATTTTAAGGATAAGCATATGAGGACTAGACAGGCAACTCCTCTATGCCACCAAGAACCAGGCACCTCTGTTCCCTGCTCCCACTTCCTACTGAAGACTATTCCAGGTCATTCCTCCTGACCAGTTTTTAGTCAAGAAAGACAAAGTAAAAGAAATAGCCCACGTGTTATGTATGTGTCCTGATAGACAAAACTGAGGTACATGAGATAACAAAGTATCTATTACATGAATCTATTATATATATAAAATTTAAAAATTAACATGATAAAATAAGCACTTCTAATCATACTGAAAGTGTATTTTGCTAAAGAGTTTAGTTCAAATATTAGTGGCTATGGAGAAATTTCCTGCAATTGAAATCACTTTAAAATTTATTTAGCATTCTACAATCAATCTACATAATTCACCAGATTAACAGAATAAAGGATAAAATATACAATTATCTCAATATATGCATAAAATGCACTTGATGAAACCCAATACCCATTCTTATTTTTAAAAATGTCAACAAACTAGAGGGAAATCTTTTATCTGGTGAAAACTGTCAATTTTTTTAAAGCTGCCATTTTAACATCATACTTAAGAGTAAAATATTCAACATCTTCTCCATGAGTTTCAGAGCAGGGCAAGGATGTCCAATATTGCAATTTCTATTCAACACTTAACTGAGCATTTCAGCCATTGCAATAAGGCAAAACAAGAGAAAAGTTATGAGAAAATGACATAAAGTTGTCATTAATTTCAACTAACACAATTGTGTACATATAAAATCAAATGATATACAAACTATTGAAGTTAAGTGAATTTTAGTAATTTCGCTAGAATCAAAGTCAATAAACAAAAGTGTGCAAATTTTTATAGACTAGCAAACACGTAATGAAATTTTAAAATATCATTTACAATAGCACTGAAAAGCATTAAACTCTTAATGAATCAGTATAATGAAAGCTGTGCAAGTTCTTTACATTGAAAACCACAAAACATTGCTGAGAGAAATAAATAGCTATATAATGTTCTAGAATTAGAGACTCAATATTGCAGTTCTTTTATTTGAGCAAGATAGTGCAAATGCAATCAAACTCCCAGTAGGATTTTTGTGGAAATTGACAGGAAAATTGTACAATTTATGAGGAAATGCAAAGACTATAATAGTCAAGGCAATACTGAAGAAGAAAAAGCCATGGGAGTCACACTAGTATATATTAAGACTTTGTATGGAGCTACACTAATTACTACCATGTGGTATTTAAATAAGAGTAGAAAAATAAACCAATGGAATAGAATAAAAAGGTCATCAATAGATTGACAAATATACACATCTGTTTTACAACCAAGTTGCCACCGCAATTTAATGAGGAAAAAATGATTTTAAAATAAACAATACAAGGTTACAATTCTATTCCTAGATATGTAACCAAGAAAAATAAAGAATAATGCATACCATATGACTGTGTTTATAACAACTTTAAGAACAAGCAAAACTCATCTATGATTACAAATGTTAGACTGTCATTACATTTGTTGAGGGCAGGCCCTTTGACTAGAGAAGAGCAGGAGGGAACTTTCTGGTGATGGAACAGCTTTTCTATATTTTGATTGCATTTGGTTACATGGGGATATAGTTTGTCAAAAGTCATGGAACTGTGCCTGAAGATCTTAAGTTATACTTCATATAATGGTGCTGGATACAATGGAAACTCATATCAGAAACGAACCTCAATATTTATTTCACACTACACACAAAATTAAGTTGAGAAGGGTCATACAAATAAAGATAAGGAGTTAAATAATATAATTTCTAAAAGTAAACACGGAAAAATATCTTCATGACCTTTGGGTCAGCCAATATTTCCTAAACAGGACATAGAAAGTACTATTTACTTAAAAAAAGGAAGTTGAGAAGTTAGATTTAATAAAAATGAAGAACCTTTCATTTAAAAAATCCTTGAATGAATAGAAAAACAATGCACTGAAGGTAGAAAATATTTGCCATACTTGTATCTGACCAAATATACTTGCGTAAGTCCAGAATATGTAAATCCTATGAGTAATAAGGAAAAAGAAAGATAGCCCAAAAGAAAGTGGTAGGAACTTCTAAATGGCCAGCAAAGGTATAAAAAGTTGCTTGGCATAATTAGTTAAGAAATGTAAATTGAAACAAAAATATAATGTGACTAGACTCACACTAGAGTGTATAAGATTTTTTTAAAATCCCTGAAAATCCAAAGATTTGGTGAATGTATAGAGCAACTGGTACTCTCATGATTGTTGTGGGAGGATAAATTGGTATAGCAATTTTGAAAAACTGTTTGCCAATATCTGCTTAAACTAAATATGTATACAGATTATTATCCAGCTATTTTAATATTCAATAATATAATACTGCAATTATTATCTTGGCATAAGTTTTTTTTAGTACTCGGAAGATACTCTGTGGTTATCTTCTGATTCTGGTTTTCTTTCTTCAAACCTATAAATGTTTGTAATAAGACTCCTACTGCTCAATTTTGAAATTTGCCTAGTCTGTAGGCTGAAGTAATGACTTCATGTTTACTTTTTTTAATTACATAGAAATGAATCAGATATATTTATTGTGTATGTTGCAAGGTGAGATGGGAATTCCCCAACCATATGCAACCCTAGTTAAAATAAAAAATCAACCACTGCCCAAAAGAGTCATGTAAAACATGTCAGTTTAAAATGATGACAGGAAAGTAAATTGATAATAACATTTTCTCCAAGCATTCAATTTATTCCTTGGCTTTTGAAATAAAATTCTGATAGTACACTGAAGAAAAGAATAAAATAGTTCAATAACAAAGCTAACTAAAAATAAGCTTTTGTTAAAAGAAGGTAATACTTATTTTGTTTTTACAGGTTCAAGGAAAAGTTAGTGGAAGCCGTTATCCATGTCAACATTGAACCAGAAGGTAAATAATTTTATAATACATTAACATTTCACCTAGAGATTATTTTCATTGATTCCCCTAAGGATATATAATTATTGTTCAGTAGCTTTTAATGAAAGAAATTCAATTGCAAAATCAAAGTGTTTATATATATATATATATATATATATATATAATTTTTTTAATGTTCTGGGATACACGTGCAGAACCTTGTTACATAGGTATACATGTGCCATGGTGGTTTGCTGCACCCATTATCCCATCGTCTACATTAGGTATTTCTCCTAATGCTATCCCTCCCCTTGCTTGCCACTTCCCAACAGGCCCCAGTGTGTGTTGTTCCCCTCCCTGTGCCCATATGTTCTCATTGTTCAACTCCCACTAATGAGTAAGAACACGTGGAGGTTGGTTTTCTGTTCTTGTATTAGTTTGCTGAGAATGATGGTTTCCAGCTTCATCCATGTCCCTGCAAAGGACATGAACTCATTCTTTTTTATGGCTGCATAGTATTCCATGGTGTATATGTCCCACATTTTCTTTATCCAGTCTATCATTGATGCGCATTTGGGTTGGTTTCAAGTCTTTGCTATTGTGAATAGTGCTGTAATAAATATATGTGTGCATGTGTCTTTATAGTAGAATGATTTATAATCCTTTGGGTATATACCCAGTAATGGGATTGCTGGGTCAAATGGTATTTCTGGTTTTAGATCTTTGAGGTATTGCCACACTGCCTTCCACAATGGTTGAACTAATTTACACTCCCACCAACAGTGTAAAAGCATTCCTATTTCTCCACATCCTCTCAAGCAAAAAGCGTTTCTTATTGACTGTCAAATACCATAGACAGTGCCAGTCACAATTGAATTGCTAAAATTAAATGTAATTTTTTATAAAAAATAAGATATAAATTAAGATGTAGATGAAAAGTTTGGAGAGGTTTTGGAATAATTCATACTTCCATTAGGTTCTCTGCAGTGACTGTTTGGGAAACCAATGAGTTTCTTCTTTCTTTATTCTCCCTCTCTATTCATCTTCCCTTCACTCCTTGTCCTTTCTCCATTTTCTCATCATTTTTATAAGTCCAAGTAAGCAAAATTTCAGCCCTATTTCATAAAAATTGTCTCATGCAGCACTTCCCATTATTAAGATATGTTTATAAACCTTTAATACCATCCATCAATTTATAGCAAATTCTCAAATAAGGAAGTGGTCCTATCTGATACTTTATTTGGATGTCAATCATTTGCAGTCTTAAACAAGTTTTCACATATATGCAATATTGAAAATGTCAGTTTGTCTCCCAGGCCAGCCTATACAATCCTATTTAATTCATAGCATAATTTCCAAATCTTATTTTACAATAAAATTTGGAAAAATAAATGTACTCTAACACTTCTAATAAAACAAAATAATAAAATACCAAAATACAGTGATGATTTTTATTAAAAACATTGGAACTAGAGGAAATTAGATTTAATGGAACAGAGATAAGATAAATCTACAATTTAATAAACTCTCCTAGCATTTGTCAGGTACTCTGTATTTTACCTAGAATTCTTAGCCTTATAACACCCTGTAAAGTAGCTATTATTCCTGTTTTGCAGGTAAGTACTCTGAAGCTCAACAAGTTTAAGTAATTTATCTAGGGTCAAAAAACTGAAAAAAAGAATCCAAGGATGGGCCTAGAATGGTGGCTCACGCATGTAATCCCAGCACTTTTGGAGGCTGAGGTGGGTGGATCACCTGAGGTCAGCAGTTTGAGACCAGCCTGGTCAACAAGGTGAAATCCCATCTCTACTAAAAAAAATACAAAACTTAGCTGAGTGTGTGGGCATGCACCTGTAATCTCAGTAGCTTGGGAGGCTGAAGAATGGGAATCGCTTGAAGCCAAGAGGTGGAGGTTGCAGTGAGCCGAGATCCGGCCACTGCACTCCAGCCTGGGAAACAGAGTGAGACTCCTATCAAAATAATAATTAAAAAAAGAATCTGAGGATGAATTTTCTTAACCTGAGTATGATTAGCTTGAATTCTTTCTACCATCCCATGCTATGAGGAGTCCAGGTAGCTTCATTTCACTTTCAAAGATTTCACACTGAATATTCTTCACAGATTTCCTGACTAGGAAGGAACACTTGAAATGACTCTTTTTCAAATGCATTACTTTAAAACTGAAAAAACTAGGCAGGGTGTGGTGGCTCACGCCTGTAATCCCAGCACTTTGGGAGGCCGAGGCAGGAGGATCACCTGAGGTCAGGAGTTCGAGACGACCCTGGCCAACATGGTGAAACCCTGTCTCTACTGAAAATACAAAAAGTTAGCCAGGCATGGTGGCGTGTGCCTGTAATCCCAGCTATGCGGGAGACTGAAGCAGGAGAATCGCTGGAACCCAGGAGGCAGAGGTTGCAGTGAGATGAGATCATGTCACTGCACTCCAGCCTGAATGACAGAGCGAGACTGTCTCAAAAAAAAAAAAAAAAAAAAAAAAAAAGAAAAGAAAAGAAAAAGAAAAACCTGAGAAAACTAAGGCTGTACTTACAGGCAAGGCCAATCCCAAATTCTGTTTCTTTAGATTCTGGTGACTGCTTTCCTATTTCTAATGATAGTGACAAAATTAAAATTCTCATTATGTCTTGCCTAGATTATTGCAGTAGTTTCCTCGTTTGTCTCTCTGGCTTCAGTTAATAATCCTATATACTTCTATTCAAGTAAACTTATCAGATATAAATGCTTGAATAGATTCATAACTGAGTGGTTCTTAGGTTGGGACCAGGAGTGAATTCAGCAAAGGAGACTAAAAGATGTAACTGTCAAGGTATTTAGTACATTATTAAGCATATTACAAATGACAAACCAAGCATAGATGATGAGTATCATGAAACAAAGATTAGGTTTCATGCAATTCTGTGCCCATTTGCTATTTAAAATGAAGAAAACAAAAATTATTTGATTGCTTGCATTTTATTTCAGTAATTTTTCTTCATTACTGTGCTAATTATTTTAACTTCTACTCTTTGAAATCCTCTTCCCAGCCAAGTTCTGAAAAAACTGAATAAAAAAGTGTCAGATGGAGGCCAAAACATCAACTTCCTTACTAATAAAATGCAAGATGGAGGATGTAGCTTAGTATTAGGTAGATTTGCCATCTAGTTGGAGGCAGCCATAGACAGCCAAGGCCTCCCTACTCCCTAGCCTCACTAGTATTATAATTTTTCATCTCAAATTCCACTTTTTTGTTTCTTTTTATGGACCACATAGCAAAGGTTGCAACATTTATAGAAGTCCATTAAATAGCATCCCACTTCCTTGCCAGCTTTCTGAAAAATTGAAATAATATAAAAGGATTACCAATAGAAATCAGAATGTCAATTTTACTATTGACAAATGCTAAGTTGGAGGGCTTTGTTCCAGAACCAAATGGGCTTACTGAATATGCTCAAAAATTAGGTAGATTTACCAACTGTCCTAGTCTGTTTGTACTACTGTAACATAATACCATAAATTTATAATTTATAAAGAGCAGAAGTTTAGTTCTCACAGTTCTGAAGGCTGGGAAGTTGAAGATCAAGGCACCAGCATCTGGTAAGGGCCTTCTTGTTGCTTCCTCAAATGGCAGAAGGACAAAAGGGACAAATGCTCGTTCCTCATATGGCAAAAGAGTAAGAGAAAATTAACCCAATGCTTTGTGGTTTCTTTTATAAGGGACTTAAACACTACTTATGAGGGAGGAGCCCTCATGGTTTAACCACCTCTTAAAGACTCCACCTCTTAACATAAGCATACCTCATTTTGTTGCATTTTGCAGATATTGTGTTTTTTACAAATTAAAGGTTTGTGGCAACCCTGCATTGAGGAAGTTTGTCAGTACCATTTTTCTAATGGCATATGCTCATTTTGTGTCTCTGTGTCACATTTGGGTAATTCTTGCAATATTTCAAATTTTTTTATTATTCTGTTTCTTTTATGGTGATCTGTGATTAGCAATCTTTGATGTTACTATTGTAACTATTTTGCACTCCATGCACCTGCCTGTATGACACAGTGAACTTAATCCATAGATGTATGTGTTCTGACTGCTTTACCAACTGGATGTTTCCCCATTTCTCTTTCTGTCCCTGGGCCTCCCTATTCCCTGAGATGCAACAATAATGAAATTAGGCCAATTAATAACCCTACAGTGGCTTCTAAACGTTCAAGTGGAAGGAAGAGTTGCACATTTCTCACTTTAAATCAAAAGCTAGAAATGATAAAGCTTAGTGAGAAAGACATGTCAAAAGCTAAGATAAGCTAGGCCTCTTGCTCCAGACAGCCAAATTTTGAATTCAAAGGAAAAGTTTTTGAAGGAAATTAAAAGTACTACTTTAATCAACATAATACAAATGATAAGAAAGCAAAACAGCCTTATTGCTAATATGGAGAAAGTTTTAGTGGTCTGAATAGAATATCAAACCAGCCAAAACGTTCCTGTAAGCCAAAACCTAATCCAGAGCAAGGCCCAACTCTCTTCAATGCTATGGAGGCTGAGAGGTGAGGAAGCTGCAGAAGAAAAGTTTGAAGCTAGTAGAGGATGCTTTATGAGGTTTAAGGAAAGAAACTCTGCATAACATAAAAGTGCGGGATGAAGCATCAAGTGCTGCTGGAGAAGTGACATCAAGTTACTCGGAAGATGTAGCTAAGGTCATTGATGAATATGGTCACACTAAGCAATAGATTTTCAATGTAGATGAACCAGTCTTCTATTGGAAGGAAATGCCTCCAGAAGAGAAGTCAATGCCCGCTTTAAAGCTTCAAAGGATGGGCAGACTCTCTTGTTAAGGGCAATGCAGCTGGTGAAGCCAATGCTTACTTGTCATTCTAAAAATTCTGGGGCTTTTAAGAGTTATGTCAAATTGGCTATCTGTGCCCTATTAATGGAAAAACTAAGCCTAAATGACAGCACATTTGTTTACAGCATGGTTTGCTGAATATTTTAAGCCTGCTGTTGAGACATACTGCTCAGAAAAAACAAACAAAAAAAGCATTCCTTTCAAAATATTACTGTTCACTGACAATGCTCCTGGTCACTCAAGAGCTCCAGTGGAGATGTACATAGAGATTAATGTTTCCTTTCCTGCTAGCACATCATCTATTCTGCAGCCCATGGATCAAGGAGTAATTTTGACTTTGAAGTCCTGTTATTTAAGAAATAGGTTTATTATTACTATTATTATTATTTTTGAGATGGTGTTTCACTCTTGTTGCCCAGGCTGGAGTGCAATGGTGCAATCTCAGCTTACTGTAACCTCTGCCTCCTGAGTTCAAGCGATTCTCCTGCCACAGCCTCCCAAGTAGCTGGGGTTACAAGCATGTGCCGCCACAGCCTGCTAATTTTGTATTTTTAGTAGAGACAGGCTTTCACCATATTGGTCAGGCTGGTCTAGAACTCCTGACCTCAGGTGATCCACCTGCCTCAGCCTCCCAAAGTTGTGGGATTACAGGCATGAGCCACCACGCCTGGCCTAAGAAATACATTTCATAAGACTATAGCTGCCATTGATTGATAGGGATTCCTTGGATGGATCTGCCCAAAGTAAATTGAAGCCTTCTGGAAAGGATTCAACAGTCTAGATGACATTAAGAACATTTATAATTTATGTCAGGAGGTCAAAATATCAGCATTAATGAGGGATTGGAAGAAGTTGATTGCAGCCCTCATGCATGACTTTAAGGGGTTCAAATCTTCAGCAGAGGATATGATTATATATACACTGAAAAACAAAAAAAAATAGTGTGACTTGCTTCATTTAGATATTAGCTTTATTGTGGTGGTGTGGAACCAAACCCACAATATCTCTGAGGCATGCCTATACTATCACATTGGAAACAACTACATTTTGGAGGGAATATGTTCAAACCAGAGTGCCAACAGATGACCAGCAGTGCTGGACTTGGGCAGGCCCTCAGTTGGTGGAGGCAGGCAAAGAGCTGCCTTGGGAGAAAAGTGGAGAATAATTGTTTTTATGGGTAGTTCAGTCTCAAGAGGAAGAAAGGAGGGTCTGGCTATGTAAGTCCTGTTTTTTCTTCCCAAATTACATCCCCAACGAAGATGGAGTGAATAAATGTCTATAGGGAAACCAAGGTGTATACCCATATGGAAAAAAGCATCAGGAATGGGGGAAAAGTGGTGCCTCAACAAACCCTTAGGATTTTTGTTTGGAAAGATGTGTTATTGGTGCTGTTTTACATTTAGCTGCTTTTTTTTTTTTTTTTTTTTGACAAAAAGGAATCAATAGTAACGTCTTCTAGGGACAATCAGAGCCCTTAGAAGAAAATTATTATAAAAACTACCTTTTTAGCCTGTATTTTCATATGCCAAAGAAATGAAGTAAAATTTTACTAATGTGTGTGTTGGAGGGATATTTGGGAATTGAAGAGGGAACTTGGCTGAAGGACAAAGCACATGGCTTCAGGTTGATTCTGCTGAGGTGGATAAAAGGAAGTGGTGGAGGAGACACTGACTTAGGAAGTTCCCTGAATAACCATGGTGGAAGAGTTGTGTTGCTGTGTGGTGTGAAACGTTAGAGTATGGAGAGAAACATACAATGTATCTCAATGTTCACAAGTTGAGTGTTCTTACACTGGAGTGAATGGCCCGGCATCAGGCATGGGACAAGCAAGCTTACCTTACCACCACCTCTTCTCCTTTGATGTGATGCACACCAGTGTTATGAATCTGCTTTTGTTATTTTTACTCCTGAAGAATCAAGTAGATAAGTGAATTCTAATGTATCCCAGCAGATAAATAGCAGTCCTGTCTAATCTTTGCCCTTACCACACTTAGAATCATCCTTCCAATGCCCATGTAAGTAGTTCTAGACTGACAGCTGCTCTTCTGGGCAATCTAAGTCAATAGTCCCTGAGTAGCAGGCACTCTGGAGGGGAGTCCCCAGTACATGAATTGTGGGATCAAGGACACACAGAAATTATTTTTTAGAATCCCACTAGAAAGGAAGTTCAAGGATATATACCACCTCCCTCTGGATAAGTTAACTATTTTTTAATGATGTTATCTGATATCTTAACAATGTACACAGAGCAGTAGAGCCTTGAGTTTGTTGTTTAAATATCTTTGATGCTGTGTCATAACAAATTAATTTCTAGATGTTGCCAATTTGGCAGAGAAAGCTGATTATTTCCCGCAATCACTCTGCATATGTGCACACGATTATAATTAATGATCAGGGATGCCAGCCATACTTTAATAATGATCTTTCAGTGTTTAGGAGCCTAATAGAGCAACTGGCATTTGTGCCCTCTATTGGGACAGAGGCAAGAGAAAGGAGGCAGTGAATCTGGATAGATCTATCAATGTCAGAGAATCAATAGTTTGCTGATTTCTGTTATAAATTTGAAGATTCTGAGGTAGTTATTGACAAAGCTGCTGCTGTGAATATTAACAGAGTGTTTATGTAGCCTTCAGTGAAGCACTGCAAGTTCTGATTAGATTGAAATTGGTCTTTTGGCAACTTTGCAATTTGTGCTTCCTCAACATACCAGTATTCCACACAAGGACTCTAAGAAGATTAGTGATAGATATCAGAGGAATTATGTGAGCACAAAATGTCAAGATATCGAAGGTGTTTCATCATAAGAAAATGAGATTTATCAACTCTCAATGACCGACATTTACACATTTTTATAGACTATTTTTTCCATTTCTTCATAAAAATGTGACCAACAAGTGAATGTTCTTAAGTATATGATAGCATCAAAGATTAAAAATAAGAGGGAGAGAGAGAGGAAAGGGGGTGAAAGAAAACATAAATCTTTATAGAGAGTATTTTAATAAAATTATCTAAAATCCTAGAATTCCAAAGTAATTAAAGATCAAAATGACTCTGTGTTTAGTTAAATAATTTATCTTGAAGTATTTTAGATATTCTAGCACTCCTGTAACATTAAGAGATGGATTTGCTTACCATTTAGGACCATTTCCTGCACAAATTATACCTACAGTCCCACAGACCCTTTAAAGATGCTGCTTACTGGAATTCTAAAATGCTTTGGATGACCTTAATTTTTCTTCTACCATGTCTGATAGTACTATAGTACATCATTCCAAAGCAAATTACCTTCTCAATGAAAGAATTGAGATGATTGTATTCTAAATAGGGCTAGCTAGAGGTACTATCTTCAATTGCTCAATAAAACCTTTTGTATCAGTAGAAAAAAAAATGCAAGGAAATGACTTCTGATGTCATGACACTACTTGTAAGCATGACAAGAACCAGAAAGCCCTAATTTCTTAACCATGACTTGAATAGTACTTTCCTTTGATTATTAATAAGCGGATTCTTAAATTAGAGAAGTTATCTTTCATCTTGTGTTTGTGTGTGTGTGTGTGTGTGTGTGTGTGTATTTTTAGTGTGGGAAGACTTTGGTGTATGTTTGATCTTCCAGGTTGATGAACAAGTCAAAGTTAAAGACACTTTCTTGTCACTCATAGTTACATTGAATAAGTACATAGAGGTAGACAGGAGGAAAAAGTTAACTTGAGGATAACCACAATAACTATGTATCCCTTGAGGACTCTGCTGGCTCCTAAGGCAAGAAAAGTCATCTTTCTAGAGTTCATCAATGCCTTTTTAAAGGCATTCTTTACTCTTGGAAAAGAGAGATGAGATAGAAAGATGTAGATGACATCAGGGGCCTCTGAACAGGATTTTAAGAGGCTCAAACTTTTTGAACTTTAAATAACCTATCCCATTATATTTGATCAATTTTAATAAAGAATGACCTATTTTATTGAAGAATAATTCATTTAAAATGTATAATGTGACAAATTTTGACAAATGTATGATGAAATTCTAGAAAATGCAAATTAATATATTGGAAACCAAAAGGGGATCTGTTGCCGGGCTCAGAGGCAGAAGTAAAAATGGACTATAATGGATAAAAATAGAAATACTTTCTATCTTGATTGTGGCAATGGTTTTACAGGTGTACTTTTTTTATCAAGAACTTTCTGAGGCTCTGCCTTTCTTATCGACTGTGTATATGTTTAGATCCTGTTTTTGTGTATATAGTTTCTGGGATTTTTGCTTTCAGTTTCTTCTGACTTTTTGAGTTGTAGACATTTTCAATTAAAAAACTCAAAAAGGGCTGTGGAGAAAGGGGAACACTTATATACTGCTAGCAAGAATGTAAATTAGTTCAGCCGGTGTAGAAAGTGGTTTGAAGATTTCTCAAAGAACTTAAAACAGAACTACCATTTGACCCAGCAATTCCATTATTGGATATATACCCAAAGGAATATAAATCATTCTACCATAAAGACACATGCATGTGTATATTTATTGCAGCACTATTCACAATAGCAAAAACAGAATCAACCTAAATGCCCATCAATAGTAGATTGGATGAAGAAAATGTAGTATTATACACCAAGGAATACTATGCAGCCATAAAAAGAACAAGATAATGTCCTTTGCAGCAACATGGATGGAGCTGGAGGCCATTATCTTAAGCAAACTAATGCAGAAATAGGAAAAAAAAAACACTGCATGTTCTCACTTATAAGTGGGAGCTAAACACTGGGTACCCATGAACACAAAGAAGGAAAAATAGACAACAGAGCCTGCTTTGAGGGAGAGGGTGGGAGGAGGGTGAGGATCAAAAAACTATCTATTGGGTACTGTTCTTATTACCTGGGTGATGCAATAGTCTGTATACCAAACCCCAACATGCAGTGTATTTACAGAACAAACCTGCATATGCATCTCTGAAACTAAAATTTAAAAAAAAGTTCAGTCTAATCTCAATGGACTGGCATTTGCCATTCAAAATATCCTCTCTGGAGTTAGATCCCAAAATGCTTTGAACAGTGAACAACATATTAAATTGATTTTTCAAATGACCCCCCACAAAAAAAAAGACAAGCTCAAAGAAGAATCAAGCTGAGTATGATCTGGAAATTGTTTTAGAATGGGTTGATTGTATCAGCTTTATTAAATTGACATTTACAGGAAGTTTAATGTAAATACTTTGCATAGTTAAAAAAGTAAAGACAACATATTGCAAAATAAGGCATATATAAAAATATTAAATACCTCATAAATGTGATTAGACTTGAATGCTTCTACTGGGATTGGGGATCAATGTCATCCTCATTGACATGGATATTTCTGCTTTGGAAATGAAGTAGAAACAGTATTGTTTTAATTTCAAAGAGATACATAATTATCTTTATAACACACCTTGTCCAATAACTTTGCCTAGTGTTGATAAAGTCATTATCTTACTTTCTATCATTTTACCTTTTAATTTTAGTGCAATTTTTTCTTTGAAGAAAATTTCTATTTTATTGTAATTGCCATACAGAGCTGTGCATATAGCGGGCACTAAGCAAATTCTAACTACATTAATAGAGTAAAGTTAGTTTATTCTGAGCTGATGTTCAAATAGGAGCTCTAATTAACATTACAAGAGTCAATTTGGGGACATTTGGTCTCTGAAATTGCGATGTACAAAATTATACTTTGAGCTCTTTGTTTTGTATTCTTACACTTGTATCAAACTGTATCTCAAATTTTTCATTCACACTTAACAGATAGACTACTATTAATACATTTTAGAAATGTTCCCCCCTCAGGATTATTTGAATTTTAATAAAGTCAAGGTGCAAAATCTAAAAACATGAAGGTCAGAAAAGAGAATTTTATGTCTCAATTAATGGATGCAAGAGGATTTGAGAGTACATCACAGCTTTTCCAATGCCTTGGTTTTCAAGTATGAAGCCAGCACAGGATGTGTATTATATACATACTTAATGGCCAAGAAACCTTGACAAAAATTTCAACAGGTAACTGGTACCATATGAGACTATTTTTGTAAGAAGTATAGCATAGGATTTCAATCACATACAAGTTGTATAAATTCAGTAGTAGCATATATAACCAACCCATTCATTTTTCCTGCAACGTCTCTTAAGCCAAGTGCTTTTCAATGTCTGTATAATATTTGAAATATATTTGAACACTATTTAGCAAGTATTCCTTGAAGCTTGTATCACCTTAATCTTTGCTCAAGAAATATGAAATACAGCTCTTCCCTTATAAAATTTACAGTGGCAAAAACTAAAGAAACTTTAGTATTGAACTGCATAAAATTTAAGAGAAATTAAAAGAAAGAACTGAAAAACTCATTTTGGAAAGTGAGGTTTCCTAAACTATGTTCAAAGGACAGGTATGTTTTTGCAATAATTTGAATCTTAGCAAAAAATGTCTGTGGAGGAGGAGGAAAGAGTACTTTAGTAGAATTTACTGTTCTCTCCTTTTTTTCTGAAACCAATCTAAAATGTACTTTGAATATTATTCAACAGGAATGAGTAGCTTTTATTTATGGCCATTATTTTTGGTGGTGGTTCTAATTTCTGTAAGTATCTTGTTATGCAAAGTGTGCTCCAAGCACCACCGTCTTTGGCATTACCTGGGACCTTGTAAGAAATACAGATACATATGTAACAAACCTGCACGTTGTGCACATGTACCCTAAAACTGAAAGTATAATCATAACAAAATAAAAAAAAAGAAATGCAGATTCTCGGGACCCAGTGCAGCCCTACTAGATCAGAATCTGCATTTCGACAAGATCTTAGTTGATTCACATACACAGCAAAGTTTAAGAATTACTGTTGTAGATAAATTTTGATACATCCTAGAATCACTTGGGGAGCTATTAAGATCCTGATACCAAAATCATATTCTATATCCAGTATCCATTAATTCAAACTCTGATGAATGGATTAAACCTGGGCGTTAGAATTGTTTTTTGTAAAGCTGCCCACGTAGTCCCAGTGTGCACCCAGGTTGCGCATCAGTGCATGAGCTATTACCACCATAGCACTTAGAGCAGCAGCAGGTAGAATTTAGAGGCATTCCTCAATACTTTATAAATTCTGATTGTCTAAGTTGCTTTACAAAGCTCACTGAGTGCACACAAAGTATTAACATATCCTTTTAACATGTGCGTGAAAATTTAATTAGGCATCATTTGAGCAGCTGCTCTTGAGACTGGTTTTTCTTTTCCCAAGATTTCTCTTCAGACAGGTTTGGCTGCATAAAATGTAAAACATTGAAGTTTTTTGGTTCCCTTAAAGAATATGCAGTAACAACATTTGATCAAAGATAAACATGATGAAGTGAAATAGGATGTACTGTAAAAGAGTCATTTTCTCCCTATATGAGAATTCATCTGAAATTCCCTTTTGCTTGGGCAACTTCCCTAATGAATAAAGATTTTTTATCTTTTAAAATAATTACTTCTTTTTTATAATTCTTGAAGCATAAATAGTAAAGTATTATTATTAATCATTCTTAGTGATAAGAATAATCATGTTTTCTAAAAACGATAGGCATTCAAGACAGTAAAATGTTACATGTTAGAAATTTAGGAAGATCAAAGAGAATCAATAAACAAATTTAACGTATCTTTTGTCCTTTCATATAAAACTTACAAAAGAGATATATAAAATACAAATTTTAAATGGAAATAACAGAATCAGATCTCTGATTTCCTACATATTTCTGTTGCAAAATAATTTTATGGGATGTTTATCGGCTTTACTAACATGCACACTTAAATTATACTTCACTGACTTAAGTATTCATAGGTATACTTAATTACACTTAAGGCCAAAGATGAAAAATAAGATAAAAACTCAGTATAAAGTGTCCTAAAGTTATATTTGGAGATAAGCCCGATGAATATAAAAGTAGTTATTTCATGGATAAGATTTTGATATTTTCTTCCCCAAGTATCATTATTTGTATCTGTGATTGTATATGTATTTTAATTCTTTATTTTATAACAACTTAGACTGACATAAATTAGAAAAAACAGCACTAAAGGGGCAGAACTCCCATAACAGTAAAGAACTCTGAAAAATGACTTCTAAATAAAAGCAATAAAAACACTAGCAAAATTTGTCAAAATCAGCTTTTTCAGAATTTTCAAAATAAGCTAACTTTGCAAAATCTGAAGAGGGTTTATTAAAAAATGACTGAAACTTAGTACAAGGAGTTTCACGGTATTTCAGTTTGCCTCATTTTCATCCCTTTTGTAATAATTCAGTGGTATCCTTGAAAACCAGCCGAATAGCAGCCCCTGGAAGGGGAAGTCCAGATTTGAAGTTCCTCAAGATGCTCCGTCTGTAGAGAATTGTATCTCTAGGGCATTTGCTGAAACAATCAGCAGCAGTTTCCTAACACTGTTGCTGCAGAGGTGATGATACCAGTTGAGGCAAATAAGTTGTGAAACATTTATTTTTTTTTAAATCTGTAGAATAAAATGTCAATAGGAGACTTTGCAAAGTTCCTACTTGTTGCTAAGAATCTGGAATACCAGGTGCACACATAAGTGTTGCACAGGTGTAGGGCTGTGTACATGCTAAGGAAAGACCTGAGAGAGCCCTAATCTTTCACCTCTGGCCATCCTTGGGACCTTGTAAGTGAAGGTCAAAAGTAAATTAATGGAGAATTGAAGCTGTGCCCCAAAGCACACACAGGCCTTTTGACAAAGGGAGGAAGATTTAGTGATTTAAGGTATTTAAGAAAATTTCTGTACAATCATTAGCTGAACATTGAGCTAACCAGAGACTTTCATGACTGCACACAACAAGGAATACAAACTTTGCATACTTAGTTCAGGAAAGTCACCAAATAAACAAAAAACAACAAAAGAAAACAAAGCTGATTAAAAACAATAATACAACAAATCCTGGACAGGGGATCTCATTTCCAGAGTTGTTCATATTATATTGAAATGTCCAGTTGATAGTGACAGTAGGCAGTCAAATGCCTAGGCAGATAGGGGTGGGTCCCTGTTGAAACCTTACCTCTAAGCCAAAGACAATTTAAAGCCTGAAAGCCAAGCTACAAGTCAAATCCTGGGACCAGATTGAGAAAGTTTCTTCCCATTTGTCATGCTTTCCTCTGATTGATCCCCATCCTTCACCTATTTTACATATACCTACCCTTTCCTAATTGGTTTTCTACACTGCCATGCCCACCTTTGAGTGGTGCCTTTGCGTTAGCCTTTCTTTGCATACTCACAAACAAATCAGCATGTGTTCCCCTATACTGAACCCATAAAAGCCCAAGACTCAGTCACCCTGGGAGAGAAACCACCCTACTCCAGGTGGAGGATCTCCCTTGCATCCCCTCTTTGCTGAGAGCTGTGTCATTGTTCAATAAAATTATTCTCTGCCTTCCTCACTCTTTGATTGTCAGTGTATCCTCATTCTTCTTGGACATGGGACAAGAGCTCTGGTCTCACCAAATGTGTGCTTGGCCCTCTGCCATTCACCAGGGGAGGGCCGCTGCTCCAGATGACAGAAATTGCAGTGGGGCTGAGCCACCCCTGAAGCCATGGGCTGAGGCAGGGCAAGGGTGTTGCCACCCAGTTGTCTCCAGCTGGCAAAAGTGATCAGGAAAGATCCTGTGTCGCAATTTTCAAAAAAAGTTGTGAGATGCATAAAGATATAGGAAAGTATGGCCCATACACAGGAAAAAGCAATCAAGAGAAAGTGTTTCTGAGAAAACTTGGATGTTGGATTTATAAGATGTGTTATTTTTCTTTTGATGCCATATCAAATTACCAAAAACTAGTAGCTTAAAACAATATAAACTTATTATCCTACAGTTTTGCAGCTCAGAAATTCAACTGGATCACTGGGCTAAAATCTAGGAGTCAGCAGGACTGACTTCCTTTCTGGAATCTATAGGGCATGATTTATTTCCTTGCCTTTTCTGGCTTCTAAAGGCCACCTATGTGTTTCTTAGATCATTGTCTTATTATTCCCTCTTCATGGCTTGAAATAAAAGATTGAATTTTTCTCACTTTGAATCTCTCCATCTCTTCTTGCGTACTTGCATCTCTTTCTGACTAAAGACAGGAAAGTTTCTCTGCTTGTAAAGATTCATGTGATTGAATTAGGAATGCCCAGAGAATACAGAATAATCTCCCAGTCTCAAGGTCCATTAATTTAATAATCCTGTAAACTCCTTTTAACCATGTAGTGTAGCATATTCACAGATTTCAATGATTAAGAAATGGACTTCTTTGGAGAGTCATTATTCTGCATATCACATAAGATAAAGACTAAACCAGCTACTACAAATAAGTTTTTAAAAATCTAAAGGAAACCATGTATAAAAAAGTAAAGTACAAGTACTATTTCACCAGAGAATATCACTAAAAATAAAAATTGTGAAAAGAAATCAAATAGAATTATTGATGTGGAAAAATACAATAACTGAATTGTAAGTTTCACCAGAAGGATTCAACAGCAGACTTGAGTTGGTAGACGAAAGAGTAAATTAACTTCAAAAGAGGTCAAATATACATTTTGAAAATAAAGAGAAAAGAATAAAGAAAAAGAGAAGAATAAACAGAGCTTCAGAACCTGTGAAGTGCTATTATGTATACCAACATACATATAAGGAATACCCCAGAAAGAGAAGACAAATGAAAGGACAAAAAGAATATTTGAAGAAATAATGGCTGACAATGTTCCAAATTCAATAAAAACATTAATCTACCTACTCAAGAAGCTCAGTGAACTCCAAGTAGGACAAACAAAGAAATCTATCTTTAGACACATTGTAGGTTGTTAAAAGTGAAAGACTGAGAATCTTAAGAGCAGTGAAAGAAACATGATTCATAGTATACAAGGCTATTTACTTGATTAACTGTTAAATCCTTGGTAGCTACCATAGAGACCAGAAGGTAGTGGGAGGATATATTTAAAGTGCTATAAGAAAATGACTGCCAACCAATTATTTTATATCGAAAAAAGCTATCCATTAAATATGAAAATTATAATTAGACATTACTAGATTAAAAAAAACAGAGAATTCATCCTTAGAAGACATATCCTATAATAAATACCAAAGGCTAAAATGAAATGACAATAGATAATTAAAAAGTACACAGAAAGAAATAAAGAGTACTTGTAAAATAGCTTAATAGGTAAGTATAAAACCAACTTTTTGTAATCCTTTTTTGTTTGTAAACCTTTTTTTTGTTCTATATGATTTACAAGACAGCTTCATAAAGCAATAATTAAAAATATGTATTGCTGGGCGTACAATGTATAAAGATTTAATTTGTATGACAATAACACAAAGGAGTGGGGAGAAAATGGATATACAGGAGCAAAGTTTTTGTATATTATTATAAGCAATTGGTTTTAATCGGAATTATACTTTTATAAATTATGATGTTACTTGCAATGACTAGGGCAACCACTAAAAAAATGCATAAAAATAAAGTAAAAAATGACAATAGAATTGAAAGTCTTAACAATTGTAAACGTATCTACACACCTAACAAAAGAGCCCCAAACTTCATGAGGCAAACACTGCTAGAATTGAAGAGAGAAATAGACAGTGTAACAAAAATTCTTAGAAAAGTCAATACTCCACTTTTAATAATGGATACAACAATTAGGCAAATGATCATCAAGGAGACAGAACACTCACATAACACTATAAACAAACTATATGTAACAGACATCTCTATAACACTCCACCCAATAACAGTAGAATACAAATTCTTCATAAGTTTCCATGGAATGTTGTCTATCATAGACCATATATGAGGCCTTAAAATAGCTTGAATACATTTTAACAAATTAAAATTATGTCAAGTATTTTCTCCAACCACAATGAAATTAAATTTGAAATCAATGACAATGAAATTTTAAAAATTCATAAGTATATAAAATTTAGACCACACACTTCTAAATAACTATGGGGTTGAAAAGATCCATGAGAAAAATTAGAAGACACTTTGAGACAAATTAAAATGAAAACATAATAGACCAAAACTTATGGGTCACAGCTAAAGAGGTATTTATAGAATTACAAAAATAGTGGTAAATGACTATTTTAAAAGATAAAAAGATTTCAAATCAGTAACCTAAACGTTTGACCAAGAAACTTGAAAAAGAAGAGAAAACTGAACTCCAAGTAAAAAGGAAGAAAAAAATAATAAAGATTAAGGTATAAATAAATGAAAAAAGCGATAGAAAAACAATAGAGAAAACTTTTGGAAAAGTTGGTTCTTGGAAAAGATCAACAAAATTGAGAAACATTTAGCTAGAGTGATCTGATAAGGCAAAAAGAGAGGACTTAAATTACTAAAATCAAGAATGATAGGGCATTACTACTGCTTTTACAAAAAATAAAAAGGATTAGAAGGAAATACTCTGAACAATTTTATGCAAAAAGTTAATATATATGAAATGGAAATATTTCTAGGATGACATAGACACTTGAAACTGACTCAAGAAGAAACAGATCATCTGAATAGACTTACAAATAAGGAGGTTATATTAGCGATTAAAAAACTTTACACATACACACAAATACTGTCCCAGATGGCTTCACTAGTAAATTATACCAAACATTCAAAAAGAATTATCATCAATCTTTCACAAATGCTTACAAAAAAAAGAAGAGGTGAGAGCATTTATCTACTAATTCTATAAGGTCAGAATTATTCAGATACTAAAACTATAAAAAGATTTCACTTGAAAATAAAAGACCAGTATAGACCAATATCCCTTTTAAATACAGATACCTAAATCCTCACAATACTAGGCAACCAAATCCAGCAACATATGTTAATAAAAAGGATTACCTACAATAATTCAGTGGGATTTATCCAAGAAATAAAATGTTGGATAACACCCAAACACCAATCATTATGATACATCATATTATTAGAATAAAAGATAAACATGACATGACCATCCAAGTAGATGTAGAAAAATCATTTTACAAAAGCCAACACCCTTTTATGATAAAACACTTACCACACTGCAAATAGAAGAGAGTATCCTCCCTTGTGGGCAATAATCAAGATTCCAGGTCCTTCCTGTGTCTGTATGATGGCCAAGATGCCTCTTCCCCATCAGACATAGCAGAACTTCACTTTAGTAATTAAGGACATTATTTAATGCAGAATTGAATAAAAGCGGATTCCACCTTCTCTCTCCCTTTGCCATTCCAATGGCTTTTATGGACCTCAGTTTCCTCATGTGCTTTTTGAAAGGGTCGAAGGAAGGACAGAAGAATCTGATAACATCTGAGGTAGCTTCCACATATGTCTTACTCTAAAACACCTTGCTCTTTAGACTACCAGGTCATAAACAAGGCATTACCATGTGGCTGGAGGAAGCAGTTACACGCAAATAGGGAGCTGCTTAGGTGTTGGCCAACCTATGAAAGGACAGAAAGAAGCAGGAACCCTTTCAGTCCCATCTCTTGTCTGAGGCTGAAACCTGGGCTGATGCTGTCTAACTCTGCACCTTTGCTATGACCCATGCCACCCCTCCTTGTCACACTCTGAAGCTTTTCCCAGGGGCTTCTCACCCCACCTGCCATATTCCTCCCAGCTCCCCAACATAATGCAGCCAAGATCTCAGCCCATCCCTCAGTGCTGTTTTGTGAGGCCTGGATGTTCACCATGGCTCCCAACCACAGCTCACTTACATGTCTCGGCTCTGCAGTCCAGGGGAGCCAAGGCAGAGCTGGGCCTCCTGAGCCGATACTGGCAAGAACTAGGAGATGCCAGTTTTGTCCCTCAGTTTCCCAACCTTTAGCATTATGTGCTTTTTTTTGAGGACCCACAAGTTCTACCATCCTCAGACTCCCCATTGCCTCTGTCTACACTGCTCTTCCTTTTCCCTCCTACTTCATCACCCTCCTGCATCACCCTCCTGCTTCAGTGGTCCATCAGGCCCATGCTCTGTCCTTGTCAAGGCAGTAACTACCTAAAGGATGAACTCTATGTCCATGCCAGGCAAGGATCAACTGACCTCAATTCCAGAGGGACCATGGGATAACCCTGACTTACCTTCCCCTTTCCCTACTTCATCCCATATTTCTCTTTCTTTCATTCTCCCCACCTCCTGGGGCTTCCAGTTCCTTCTTACCCCATCCCCATATCCAAAATACAGAACACCCTCAACCTAATAAAAAAAAACTATCTACAAAAACATGCAGTTAAAATCATACTTAACAGTGAAAAAATGAATGCTTCCTGCTAAGATGCGCACCAGACAAGGATGTCTTCTCTTACCACTTCTATTCAGCATTATACTGGAGGTCCTAGCTAGAGCAATTAGGAAAGAAAAAGAAAAGGCATGCAGATTGGAAAATGTTTTAGTTTATTCTCACATTGCTATAAGGAAATATCTAAGACTGGGTAATTTATAAAGAAAATAGGTTTAATTGGCTCACAGTTCCATAGGCTGTCCAGGAAGCATGATGCTGGCTGGCAACCTGGGGAGGCCTCAGGAAACTTTTACTCATGGTTAAAGACAAAGCAGAAGCAGTTGTCTTCACGTGGCTGGAGCAGGAGGAAGGTGGGGGAAGTGCCACACACTTTTAATCAACTAGATCTCGTGAGAACTCTGTCAGGAGAAGAGCACCAAGGGGGGAAATCTGCCATCATGATCTCATCATCTCCCACGAGGCCCCAGCTCCAACATTGGGGATTACAATTTGACATGAGATTTGGACAGGAACACAAGTCCAAACCATGTCAGAAAAGAGGTAAAATTATTTCTCCTTGCCAATGATATATTTTGTGCATAGAAAATCCTATGGAATCCAAAATAAATTATTAGAGCTTATTAATGATTCAGGAAGTTTTCTGGATAAAAACTAATATATAACAATCAGTATATATTTATACAATAGAAATGAACAATCTAAAAATAAAATTATAGAAATAATTCAATTTACAGTAACACCAAAAAATAAGAAATAAAAGAAGTGTAAGATTCATATACAAAATTCTACAAAATATTGGAGAAAGAAAAAAGAATAATTGAATAAAACAATTCCTAATTAATGGATTGGAAGACTTAATGTTTGTAAAGATAGCAATACTCCTCAACTTGGTAAACAAATTTAATGCAATCTGTTTCAAAATCATATCTGCTGTATGTACCAAAATTGGGAAGCTGAATCTAAATTAAACTCAAGATGGACTAAAGACCTAAACCTAGGACCTGAAACCAAAAAAAAATTCTAGAAGAAAACATTGGAAAAAACCTTCTAGACATTGGCTTAGGCAAGGATTTCATGACCAAGAACCCAAAAGCAAATGCAATTAAAAACAAAAATAAATTTGTTTAAGCTTATCTTTGCTTTTATTGCATTTGGTTTGGCTTCCTGGTCATAAATCCTTGCCTAAGCCAATGTCTAGAAGAGTTTTTCCGACGTTAAACAACCCCATTAAAAAGTGGGTGAAGGATATGAACAGACACTTCTCAAAAGAAGACATTTATATGGCCAACAAACATATGAAAAAATGCTCATCATCGCTGGTCATTAGAAAAATGCAAATCAAAACCATAATGAGTTACCATCTCACATCAGTTAGAATGGCGATCATTGAAAAATCTGGAAACAACAGATGCTGGTGAGGATGCGGAGAAATAGGAATACTTTTACGTTGTTGTTGTGAGTGTAAATTAGTTCAACCATTGTGGAAGACAGTGTGGTGACTCCTCAAGGATCTAGAACCAGAAATACTATTTGACTCAGCAATCTCATTACTGGGTATATATCCAAAGGATTATAAATCATTCTACTATAAAGACACATGCACACGTATGTTTATTGCAGCACTATTAACAATAGCAAAGACTTGGAATGAACCCGAACACGTGTCAATGATAGACTGTATAAAGAAAATGTGGCACATATACACCATGGAATACTATGCAGCCATAAAAAAGAATGAGTTCATGTCCTTTGCAGGGACATGGATGAAGCTGGAAACCGTCATCCTCAGCAAACTAACACAGGAACAATAAACCAAACGTCACATGTTCTCACTCATAACTGGGAGTTGAACAATGAGCACGCATAGACACATTGAGGGGAACATCACACACCAGGGCCTGTTGGGGGGGTGGGAGGAAACAGAAGGGAGAGCATTAGAACAAATACCTAATGCATGAGGAGCTTAAAACCTAGATACGGGGTTGATAGGTGCAGCAAACCCTCATGGCACATGTATTACTATGTAACAAACTTGCATGTTCAGCACATGTATTCCAAAACTTAAAAAGAAAAACAAAGATAAATAGCTAGGACCTAATGAAACTAAAGTGCTTTTCCATGGCAAAAGTAACAGTCAGCAGAGTAAACAGTCAAACCACAGAGTGGGAGAAAATCTTCACAATCTATACATCTGACAAAGGACTAATATCCAGAATCTACAATGTACTCAAATCAGGAAGATAAAAACAAACAATCCCATCAAAAAGTGGGCTAAAGACATAAATAGACAATTCTTAAAATAAGATATACAAATGGACAGTAAACATATGAAAAAAATGCTCAACATCACTAATGATCAGGGAAATGCAAATCAAAACCACCATGCAATACCAACTTACTCCTGCAAGAATGTCCATAAAAAAAAAAAAAAAGTAGATGTTGGCATGGATGCAGCAAACAGGCAACACTTCTACACTGCTGATGGGAATGTAAACTAGTACAGCCACTATAGAAAACAGTGTGGAGATTCCTTAAAGAACTAAAGGTAGAACTACGATTTGATCCAGCAATCCCACTACTGGATATCCACCCAGAAGAAAAGTAGTCATTGTTTGAAGAAGATACTTGCATGTGCATGTTTATAGCAGCACAATTCGCAATTGCAAAATTGTGGAACTGACTCAAATGCCCATCAATCAACAAGTGGATAAACTATGGTATATATGTATGATGGAATACTACGCAGCCATAGAAAGGAATGAATTAACAGCATTTGCAGTGACCTGGATAAGGTTGGAGACTATTATTCTAAGTGAAGTAACTCAGGAATGGAAAACCAAGCATCATATGTTCTCACTGATATGTGGGAGCTAAGCTATGAGGACAGAGAAGCATATGAATGATACAATGGACTGTAGGTACTTGGGGGGAAAGAGCGGGAGGGGTAAGGGATAAAAGACTACAGATATGGTGCAGTGTATACTGCTTAGATTATGGGTGCATCAAAATCTCCCAAATCACCACTAAAGAACTTACTCATGTAACCAGATACCGCCTGTACCCCAATAACTTATGGAAAAAAATTAAAATAATAAAACAAAATAAATAGGGAAATGTGGCTGTGCATAGTGGCTCGCACCGGTAATCCCAACATTTTAGGAGGCCAAGGTGGGTGGATCACCTGAGGTCAGGAGTTCAAGACCAGCCTGGCCAACATGGTGAAACCCCATGTCTACTAAAATTACAAAAATTAGCTGGGTGTGATGGTGTGTGTCTGTATTCCCAGCTACTCAGGAGGCAGAGGCAGGAGAATCTCTTGAACCCAGGAGGCGGAGTTGCAGTGAGCCGAGATTGTACCACGGTACTCCAGCCTGGGTGATAGAGCATAACCTTGCCTCAAAAAAATTAATTAAAAAATTAATAGGGGAAAGGGAAGGGACCAGAATAGCCTAAGCAATCCTGAAAGAGACCAATGTTAGAAGACTTATACTTCCAGATTTCAAAACTATCTATAACCATGGTACTATACCATATACTATAACCATGATAATACTGGCCTAAGAATGAACACTTTTCAATGGCTAAGAATTGAGAATCCAAACAAAAACCCTACATTTTTGGTCAAGGATACCAAGGCAATTCAGTGCATGCAAGAATAGTGTTTTTGCTATCGTGAATAATGCCGCAATAAACATACATGTGCATGTGTCTTTATAGCAGCATGATTTATAGTCCTTTGGGTATATACCCAGTAATGGGATGGCTGGGTCAAATGGTATTTCTAGTTCTAGATCCCTGAGGAATCGCCACACTGACTTCCGCAATGGTTGAACTAGTTTACAGTCCCACCAACAGTGTAAAAGTGTTCCCATTTCTCCACATCCTCTCCAGCACCTGTTGTTTCCTGACTTTTTAATGATAGCCGTTCTAACTGGTGTGAGATGGTATCTCATTGTGGTTTTACCCAAATGTCCAACAATGATAGACTGGATTAAGAAAATGTGGCACATATACACCATGGAATACTATGCAGCCATAAAAAATGATGAGTTCATGTCCTTTGTAGGGACATGGATGAAATTGGAAGTCATCATTCTCAGTAAACTATCGCAAGAACAAAAAACCAAACACCGCATATTCTCACTCATAGGTGGGAATTGAACAATGAGATCACATGGACACAGGAAGGGGAACATCACACTCTGGGGCCTGTTGTGGGGTGGGGGGAGGGGGTAGGGATAGCATTGGGAGATATACCTAATGCTAGATGACGAGTTAGTGGGTGCAGCGCACCAGCATGGCACATGTATACATATGTAACTAACCTGCACAATGTGCTCATGTACCCTAAAACTTAAAAGTATAATAATAAAAAAAAAAAGAATAGTGTTTTTGACCAATGGTGATTGGACAGCTGAATAGCTATACTACAAAGAATGAAGCTGAACACCCACCTCATACTATGTAAAAAGTAACTAAAAATGGGGCATAGACCTACATGTAAGAGTTAAAACTATAAAAATCTTATAAGAAATTAGAGGAGTAAATCTTTATGATTTTAGTTTAGGCAATAGTTTCTTAGTTATGAACCACAATTGCAAGTGACACAAAATAAATAAATTGAACTTCATTACAATTATGATTATTATTTTTGCTTTAAAGGGCAACATTAAGAAAAGTTAAAAGGCAATTCAAAGAATGGGAGAAAATGTTTGCAATTCTGATAATATTGCAAACAATATTCTCTTGTATTCAGAATGTGTCAAGAAATTTTATAACTTCACAATAAGAAGACGAATAATTCACTTAAAAAATGAGTCAAGAATTTGAATAGACATTTTCCAAAGAAGATATACAAATGGAAAACAAGCCTACAGAATGATGTGAACATCATTAGTTAGTAGAAAAATGCAAATCAAAATCACAGTGAGATACTGTTTTGTGCCCATTAGTATGGCTACAATTTTTAAAAGACAATAGCGAAGTATTGGCAAGGATGTGGCGTAACTGGAACCCTCAGACATTGCTGTTGCCAATGTAAAATGATGTATGTTGCCACTTTGGAAAACAGTTTTTCAGGTTCTCTAAATATAAAATGTAGAATAATATTATAATGTAGTTATTCAAATTCTAGGTACATACCAAAGTGAAATGAAACAAATATAAAGAGCCCCTCTCCCCAAAATTGAAGAAATCCAAATGTCCATCAACTGCTAAATGAACAAAATGTGGTTTATCTATGCAATTGAATATTATTCTGCAATAAAGTAAATGAATGAAGGATACATGCTGCACCATAGAGGAACCTTGAAAACACTGTGCTCAGTGAAAGAATCCAGTCACAAAAGACCACATGTTGTATTACTCTACTTATATTAAAGGTCCAGAATAAATAAATCCATCAGACAGAAAGTAGACTTGGATTGTTAGGGGTTGAATGGAGCGTAACTGCTAATGGGGTGATAAAAAATAGGAAAATTAGAGTGGTGATGGTTGCACAATTCTGGGAACATTCTAATAACCACTCAATTGTATATTTTTAAATTGTGAGTTTTATGATAGGTAAATTATATCTCATTGCTGTTATTAAAATGTTCTAAAATTATCAAATATCTTTTGCCTACATTCTGCAAATTTACCCCATATTTTCCCAATGTGCTTCTTTCTCACATAGATAGATATATAGATATATTCATTACAGGTAATGCCAACTTTGATTACTTGAGGGCAAATTTCCCTACTTTATTATTATTTTTCCCCTTTATGCTTAATAAATATCTTAATAAATATATTTTGGATAGTGTTAATGTCCCATTTTTTGGCATAACAACTTTACTTAGTTTTAGCTTGGGAGTGTGTGTGTGTGTGTGTGTGTGTGTGTGTGTGTACCTGTGTGTTAGTAGAAAGGATTGGAGAGTAGTTGTCAAAGTATAGGGGATAAAAAAACTAAATGTCCAAACCTATTTTTTTTATTCTGATTAAGCCCTTACTAAATTGAATTTCATATGACTTTCAAATCTGGGAAAATGAATTATAGTAACTCTGGATAGTGGTTTTAGCAGTAAAAATGCTAAGAGAAATATAAAATTGAATAATTGATACCATGGAATTAAAAAGCTAAGGCAATATCTTATTTAACAGAGTTCTGCAGCTTTCTTTTTATTAAATTCTGTGTTTATGCTTCTTAAATATCGTGTGTTGCTTCTTAGATATCTACACACACTGAGTACTTGGCAAAGATTATATCATGTGACATTTAATTTATGTCCACATGTATTTGCCGAAAGTTTAAAATTTAGTCGCTTCAAAATGTACAGAGATACATTAGTCTGCTCGTTTGATCTTTTAAATGATTGATAAATTAAATATACAGCAAGCCATTGTACCAAATCTGGACCTTAAGATACCTCAATGTTTCCATAACATTTGAAACATGAGATGAAGAGAGACCAGAAGATGCAGGAAAACTGTTAAATGTACTTTCATTCTCATATTTCTGATTTGCTCCTCCAGAAGAGACTCTAGTTTCATGTGGACCCAATTTTTAAGGAATTCCAGGAAAAAGAATGTCCTGGTTTTCTGTAATCTGTGAACCAAGTAGGCTAAAATTATGCTATATTTCATAGAAGTTTCTCTATTTTTGAGTGAGGTTCATCCAGGAGAAAGAATTACACAGTTCACTCAAAACTTAATTCAAAAAACAGAAAACTCCTCAAAGTAAATCCTTAAAAGTGTTTTCTTCAACCTGAGCTTTCTATACACACTCAAAAGAATCAAATGAACAGCTCTTTTTAAAGTGATGTTCTTACCTTGTAGATAATTGCTTTATGTTCAAACTCAGTGTTTCCATGTACACATTTTAATTTTAAGTTCCATTCCTAACAACCTTGCTCTCACATATGTTCATTTTATGATAATGAGAATATCCACTTTATATTTACCTGGGTTTACATCTGAACTTGTAGCACATTGTGTATGTCCACCTATATGTCCTTATCCATATTTCACCCTATTTTCCCTACTTTAGAAATTAGGGAACTGTAACTTAATAAAAATATTTCTAATTATGCTTGAAGAGAAATTCAGGTCTTGTGAATTTGATTTACATACTCCTTCTGTTAAATCATACTTTTGTTCAACACTGAATGAATGTGATGATTTTGAACACCCAGGAATATGTGTTGGAGTATTTTCTATGAAAAAAAGTATTTTCTTTTGTAAGCAGTTATAGTGTATGAACCCTCATTTACACAACTCTGAAATCTTCAATCATGTAAATCAAAATTCATAGACATGTTTACTACATTTTAATATATGTTGTCTTTTATATAAAAATGTACTGGAGCTGGCAAGAGAGCCTTATAAAGCAAATGGTTTTATAAACCACAAATCCAGAGAACTGAACACTAGATAAATGGAGTTGTAAAATATATATCAGTGGCTAGAATTTGTGTGTGATTAGGTTAACATAAATAGGCTAAACTTTGGTGCTATCCTTTGGATTTGTTCTTAATATTTAGCAATTCAAGTGTATAAACAGTTAAAACAATAAGACCCAAATTGTCTGCACATTAAACAGCATAACAGATTTTCAACAAATTGCCATCATCCTGCTTTATTTTGCTTATCTCATTGATGTATTCGTCCCTTTGATGTTTGATTTATGCATTTTATTCAGTCCACCTTTTGTTTTGAGCTAATAGTAAAGCTAGCTTTACTGTTTTTAATGTGGACATGTAGAAAAGTTCACATAATTTTTTAGTAGTTGAAATGGCACCTTGGAACTTGAAAAGCATAAGACCAATGGGGATTCGCTTTGGTTTTAAAATTTATGCCCTACAAAATGGAAGACATGACATGCTGAGACTCCAACTCATTTGGTTTTGTTGAATATAATTCTTATACCATTTTTTGTGGATTAATTAAAACTCTACTTTTCATTTGAAAGTATATAAAATATTTTGCCTTCAACATCAAAAATAGAACAATATTCTGGCTGTCTTGTGTGGAAGCTCACGAAGACAAGAGCAATGGACCTATGAATCTCTCATTTATCCACAGGGCCTGATATACAATAAGTAGTCAGTACTTGATTTCTTAAATGAACAAATGTTTGAGTGAATACAATCTTTCTGGTTTGACACAGACCAAATTTGGGAATGGAGAGTGGAGACTGCACATAGTGGGAATGTGGCTTACTTACTAAATAAGTCATTTTGATGAATTCAATGGAATCCCATGTAACTAGCCAAGTTTGAAGATTTTACTTGATTTTTGCCATTTAATTATTTCTAAACTTCTGCCTGTAATGTACAAATGGCACACATTAATTTCTCACTGTCACATGATTTCGCAGGTTGGTTCCTAGCTCTACTAGTCAATTTTCTATAATACTCTCTAGAGTATCACATTGTCTTTTGACAGACTGGTAATTAACCTAGGTCTTCATTAGAAAGGGAGGACAATGTATTGGTTTTAAGCATTCTTAATAATGAGATGATTTATTCCTAACCAAATTGAAATATAATACATTAGTAATGGGTATCACAAAGCTTACTAATTTCATTTACATTCATTCATCCAACAAACATTGCTCACAATTTCAGGCATCTTATTATGTGCTAAGTAATGTTTACTAAGTTATTCCATTGACCTTTTAATACATTATTATTTCTAGACCTACTGGAAATAAGGTTGAATTTAGCTTGACATAAATGTATTTACACTTCCTGTTAGCGTAAGTGCAGGCATTTAGAATTTTCCAACATCTATGTTTGTTAGACCATAAGTAATTAATAAATAACTTTTAATTGATACATTGATAGATCCTTTCTATCCGAGGTAGTTAATTGCATTAGAAAAGATGGACTGTGTGATGATGAAGAAACAAACAGTAGGTTATATAGATTATATTAGTATTTCCAATTATTTGCTCTCCTTCAGCTCAGATCGTCCTTCCCCATTGGTTTCTGTGTGACTTGTAGTGCCTCCTTGTAGAATAATGTATATTCCTACCCCATTGCCATGGGGCAAAACTCTTTGTTTTGCTTTTGCCAAGGGAACATGAATGGGCATGACGAATATCACATTAAAACAGACACTTTAATGGTCATTGCATGGTTTCACCCTCTTTTCTCGTTAGCATTAGGGCAAAACAGGGGCTGCTTCCTAAGTCTACATCCTTGGATGGAGAGTACTTCTAAAGTAGAGATTCAGAGTTGGGGCTGACCCAAACCATCATGTAACATGAGAGAAAAATAAGCGGTTGTTATTGTAGACCACTAAAAATTTGGGGTTCTTTGTTCTTGCACCCTTATTTAACAATAGCTGATCAATATAAATAGCAAAGTTATTTCTCACTCATTCTACCTGTCTGTTCTATGTGGACTATGCTCTGTTCCTCATTGTCCTCCCTCAAGGACCACATTTCATAGAGCTTTTACCACATTGGCAGGTAATGTGGCAGAGAGAAAGTAACATGGCAAACCCTGCTCCAGCAGTTGACGTTTCCTCCAGAAAACGACACACCTCAAGTTTCAAAGACCAACACAAGTCACATAATTTAATTAAAGGGAGTGAAAGGAAGAAAACTGACAAACAGTGAAAGATTACCACAAAAATGAACACTCCACAGTTTACAGTCTTTTTCAGAACTGATTGAGTATATCAATCTTCTTTTGCAAAGAAGGATTCAGGTTTGGCTTTGAACATTCTCACAGAAAAGACCTTTATCCAGTACTAATAAAGAATAAAACAGGACTGAAGACAGCAGAGAAAAAATTCTCCGTTTTCATTTGAATGAGTTCCTCACTTATAATTTGGTATTTAAGAACAAAAGCTCAAACAATCCTGTTCATTAATTTGCAATACATTTTCCTGAAGATAGAGTGTTCTATATCTGTGCTGTCCAATATGGTAGCCACTTTCAACAGGGGGCTGCTGAGCCCTCGAAAGGTGGCTAGTGTAAATGTGGATAGCCAAAAGTGTATCCTATCAGAGTTCAGGTTTAGAAGCAAATCTGTTTTCAGAGAAAACAGTTTTCATCTGTTCTCAGCTTTGTCCTAGGAAAGCATCCAACTTGTACTTTTTTCCATTTTAGGTTTTCCTTTCTTGTGGGCAGATTTCCTAAAGATTGGGACTATCTGCCACCATTTTTGGAATAATCAGAAACACACTGAGGTTGTATCTTAAGAGCAATTACTGCCATAGGCTATACTCTGGAGAAACATACTTTAAGGATCCCCATAGATTTCATGATCAAGAGAATGGATATGAGTATCTTCAGAAAATTTCCAGTAATTTCAAATTATAAGGTAGACAATAGGCTTCATCTGTAGACCAAAGATCATTTGCTTTGCTATTTTTCCTAAACTTCTATTGTGCATATGCAAGTGTCCATTTCACTTCTTTGTGTTGGATGATTAATAGGCATCTTAAACTTAAGGTATTCTACAATTGAAATCTTTATTTTCTTCCCCAAATTTTAGCTGCCCCCAGCACAATCCATCTCAAAATAATTTTACTCTATTTTAAATGCAAAAAATGGAAGTCATTTCTAATTCCATTGTCTCTCTCATAACCTCATCCCATCCATCATTAGCCCATTCCACTCCTTAAAATATATACAAATCCAAGTCATCATCATTGCCTCCACTGCTACTTCCCTAAGTTACATGACCATCACCTTTGTCCAAAACTGTTGTGTGCTAGCTAATGGACCTCTTACTTCCTAATTGGCTTCCTGTCTCCTTACTGTATTTTGTCCCAGTAAAAACTTAATTTTGTGAAAACATAAGACAAATTTCAACACCCCCCTGCACAAAACCCTTTAAAGGTTTACAAGGCCCTTATTATTTGGTTTCTGGCTACCCACTTACCTTAGCTAAATAAGCTTCTTTCCTCTTCCTTGAACACATCAGACAACTTCCTACCTCAGGCCCTTCGCACTTGCCATTCCTTCTTCCCTAAATGCTTTTTCTCCAGAGATCTGTAGGGCATGCTTTCTCTTTTTATTCAAGATTCTACTAAAAAGCATCTCTTCAGAGAGGCCTTTTCTAACTGCATTATCTAAAATACCATACCCTTATTTTGTATCTTCTCACTTGTTTTTTTTCCACTAATTTCCACCTGAATTTATCTTGTACATTATTTGTTTAGATTTTTTGTTTTAATCAGTTGGTTTTTTTTCCACAGGAATGTAAGCACCATAAGGTCAGGCATGTTAATTTACTGCTCTATTCATATTTCCTAAAATAAGGTTGGGAACAGAGTAAAGTGCAAATAAACATTTGTTGAATGAACAAATGAATCTCTAAATAGTTATGCAAACATTAATTATGCTCTTTTGTAAAAGGACTTTGCAATTTGGAACTAGCTTGCCTTAGACGAAGTCCATTAAGAAATCATTAATTAGTTCCCTGCTTGTCTGGTAATTCCAAAGGCAATTAATTATAAATTGAAAACAAATTCATTTTATGTATAATGTATTTTTGAATAATAATTCACTAACACTTCAGAAAAATGAACACAAGCAGTTATGGGTTTGTGACTAAGTCAATTTCTATCAGATTTTTGTGCTATGGGTTTGGTTGTAAAGTGGTCAAGCAATTATATAGCAGTTCATATTTTGTCTGAAAAGTTAGCTTTTAAAAGACATTTACTGATTTTAAGAAATGGCCAATAGTTTGTGGCCAACTAACAAGAAAATTTTCAATTACTTAAATTATTATTTTCTGATCCCAGAATGCTTTACAAGCTTTATCTAATAAAGCTTCAGTAACTGATTTCTAAGGAAAGCATTGGTAACATTCCATACTTTCATTGCTCTTTAGGGCATTTTGTTATTTAAAAAGGGAGAATGATTTCAGAGGCTCATAAAGCCTTTTAAAGACTGCACGGCCTGAGTGCTCACCTGGACTTTTCAAATGATCCAAGGCAGGTGTCCTCCATGTACTTAAATAAACTGGATTCCCCAGCATCTTGGTCCATTGACCTACCTCCTTTTCCTTCATCTTGTTTTTCCATTTTCTCATCCTTGACGCCTGTTTCTGAGCCATGACTCTGAGGCTAGTCTTGCCAGATACATACCTCTTTTGTTTAGGTTTCCTCTTCTAACTATCTGAGGGTCTCATGTAAAAATTCTATTTCCAGTCTCTCTTCTGACTGCAACTGTTACATATTCTTTTCTCTATAATTGACCTTCACAATTCATGAGCTTCAGTTTTGTAATGCTCAAATTATACTGTTTACAAAGAAAATTACCTAGGTGTGTCTCTTTATTTTATTAGATTTGCTAGCTGTTGAATCACATAAAAGAAGCTCTATTCTTACCAAGACAAATCTGCAGAGGATATTAATAGAAAACCTTAATTAATCCCCTGAAATTCTAGTATTTCCCATTTCTCAGAAGACAAAAGTGAGGCTCAAAGAAATTAAATGATTTTTCTCCAGTTTTGCTAAGGTAATAACTAATGAATTTGGGGTTCAAAACAAGTCATACATTATTGTAAATTCCCTGCTATTTCTGCTATATTATTGTTGCAAAACATATATTTTAAAAAGCAAATTTTAACATGCAATAAATGGTAAAAAGAAAAAAGACTCCACAAACTTAAAAGCCTTGTATCAGACTTTGAAACTTGTTCTAAAGCCTTAAAATTAAATTACACTTTCAATGATCCTGGAAGGAGCCTTTGGCATTACTTCATTATTCTTTCAAAATTTAACTAATTTAAAGGTGACATGAATAAAATATTCATTAAAACTACAGCAGCCATTTATCTATGACCTTTAACAAAGCTGCTATTAACTTTCAATTGACTCACAGTTGTAGATTGAACCTTACCTAATGAAGTATCCATTCCTTTCTAAACCTTCCTGGTAGAGTTTTGATTTACATCCAAAAACTGTCTATAAATATTGTACCTTAGCCAGCTCCATGCTTCCTACTTCTTATTTCTTAAATCACTGTAATGCTTCAAGCCAATATTATTCCTAGTATTTTAGTAAAGAACATCTCCATTAAATACATCTGAAGTTCTCTATTTTAATTACTGGTTTCTTTAATCTAGTTTTCCTTATAGGGAATTGCAATGCCATGTGATTTTTTAAAGATTCAAAAATGTTCCCAGGTGAACTAATTATGCCATTTTATTTCCATAACTATTGGAGTAGAACCTTCTGAGGGATCTTTCTGATGGATCTGTGTCCCTTGACTGTCCCCAAAACCTCATTCCTGATATTTTATATGCACAAGATACAAATGTGTACTTACTGTAGAATTAAATACTCATCATCTATCTGAATGAAATCTGCCTAAATATCCAAAGCCTAATTGATTTGAAATTATATTTTAGTACATAATAATTAAACATGCAGAAGGAGGTAAAGGAGGTAAAGATATGATAGCAAACAGAAATTCCAGGTCTTTTTGCTCCAGATAGCTGCCACTCTCCACCTTTCTCTACCTTGCTTTGCTCCTTTCCCAGAGAGATTAACCTGGTATCCACCCAAACAGTGGTTTCCCACATTCTCTGATCTCTGGTTAGGTTTGGTTAATGGGGGCTTAGAAAGAAGAAAGGGGATTCATGTCAGGGTATTCTGGGTATTTATTTTGCTAGCTCTTTCCCTACAGGATTTTCTTGGATTCAGTTGTGATCCTCCAACTAATATTATTGTTCCTTCCAAAGTGATTTTCTGTGTATACCTCTTTTCTTCTAGTTCTGGTAATGTTTCCTTTCTCTCTTTGTCTCTTTAGTTCTAAAGAGTTACAGCAGCCTCACAGCTACTCATGTCAGATTACTGCACTATTCCTTTTGGTTCTCCTTTACTCACACAGAGTGTCTTTGTAAATAACTCATTCTTGGTTTACTATAATTTAAGTGTACCGTTTCTTTCCTTTTGGGATCCTGACTGTTACATACACTTTTGAAGCCTAGAATTTTTTTCTTAATTGTATGAGTTATATTCGCCTGAAAGTCAAGAGCCATGACTTGGTCACTAAGCATGATACTAAATTTGTTCCAGATTTAATTAACATCAAGTGACTTCTTTTTTGCATAATAATATACTTCCAAATTTATATTTCTTATGTCACTGTGATGCTTCAAGTCAGTCTTATTCCTTACATACTTGTATATGTCAGAAAAAAGATATCTTTATTAAGTACATTTAAAACTCTCCATTTAATTAAGCATTTTAAAAAGTTGTTTTAAATGTTTCTAAAAAATTTTCTAAAACTCAATGAGCAAACATGGTATTTTATTAATTTTATTTTTTCACAAACTTTATATGATCTTTAAGAAATGATAGACATACATTAGTTATGATACAATACAAGGAATTAGAAGTAATGTGGAAGCCCAGATTGTATCCTCTCTGAGTTGCTGGCTTAGTGTGTATTTCCTGACAATCAAAACATTATACTTAAGTTCCTTAAGGGGCCCATTTTTAAAGTAAGTGAATGGTTACTTTGGAGACTTCCACTTAGGGGCACCCATGCTTGTGGCAGACAATGCTTCTGCCGCAAGTAGCTAGGAAAGATGGATGAAATATGATAACCATCTACTTGGAGGTGGTGGAGAGCTATTCAGGTTAAGATCCTAGAGAGGAAAGAATCACAGAGGAAAGATTAGAAACCAGTAAACAATGAAATGACACCTTTAAAGTGCTGAAATAAAGTAATTGTTAATCTATACACATACTATGCCATTCTATACACAGTGAAAATATGCTTTAAAAGTGATGGTGTAATGAAGACATGTTCACATAAAGAAAAACTGATAGAGATTTTTCATTGGCAAACTCATACTCAAAGAAATAGTAAAGGGAGCTTTTCAGGCTGAGAGTAGGGAATTTAACCCAAAAGTAGGTGAAAGGAAAATAAAGGAACTGATCAGGTGGGAAAAAGAGAAAGCAAATATTAAGATGGTGGGATATTAAACTAAATATGTCATTAATTGCATTATAAATAAATGGAGAATAAACCCCAATTAAAAAATTGTCAGGATAGATGAAAAGGTAAAACACAACATATGCTACACATAAAATATAAATGTAGAAATGATAAAGAAAAAACAGAAAAAGGTAACAGTTGCTATATAAGAAAGGTAGTATACTTACATTTTTATATAGTAATGCATATTTTAATATTTTTATATGGTTGTAGATAAACATATTCAAAATGATAATGGTAGACTTTAACATAACTGTATTAACTGACAGGGCACGTATTTTTCATGTGTATATAAAATATTTACCAATACTCACCAATTTACCGATATGCTGGGTCATAAAACAGGTCCCTAAAATTTCAAAGCAATGAAATAATTTGAAGTATGTTTTCTAAAAAATCTGAAAAGTTAACTAGAAAATTAAAAAATGTTTAGAAATTTAAAATGACATTTCTGCAGTAACACAAAGGTCTAAGACTACATTATAAATTGATAAATATTTTGAGCTGAACAATAGTGAAAATCAAGCAGATTGAACTTGTAGAATGTAACTAATACTGGGCTTAGGGAGAAATTTATTACTTTAAGCTCATATGTTGGAGAGGAAAGGTTAAAATTTATCCAATTATCTCAAGAAAATGGAGACACACAATATTCAAAACTGAGGAAATTAGAATAAAGGAAATCATAAAAATAAGAACAGAAAATAATGAAACACATATCAAACATATAGCAGAGGAAAGCACAAATCCAAAAGCTAGTTCATTAAAAATTTTAATAAAATTAATCATCATCTAATCAATCTGTTCAAGGAAAAAAAGAGAAAAGGTACAATTTACCAAAGTAAGAAATGAAAAAGGCTAACCACAATAGATTATACAAACATAAAAATATAATAAGAAAACATTACAAATTTGTAGCAATGAATTTAAAAATGCAGAGCAGTAGACAATTTCCTGAAGGTAGAACACATATTAACAAAACTGACAAAAGAAGAAATAGAAAATTGGAATAGTTGTATCTATAAAAATATTTAATACATTATTAAAAGCCTTCCAATAAAGAAAATGTCAAGCTAAATGTTTTCACTAATGAATTCTTCCAACCGCTTAAAAAAGAAATAGCTCCAATATTGAACAAATGCTTTCAGGATACAAATAAAAGAGAGGCAAAACTTGTCAATGTTTTAAAAGACCATCATAACCTTTATACCATAACCTGAGTTAAATCAAATCCAGTGATGTAAAGGAAAGATAAAATATTCAAAAGAGATTTTATTCTAGGAATTAAAGACTGAATTAACATTTGAAAATCAATAAATGTAAACCCTACCTTGATGGCATAGAAAGAGATATATCTTAAGATAAACCCAATAAATACTATAAAACTTTTGATAAAATTCAACACCCATGCATTATGAAAAATGCTAAACAAATTATTAATAGAAGTGAACTTCTTTAATATCTTAAGAATATTTTCCAAAACAAACAAATATGCAAGCCCATAAAAACATCTGCCTATTCGTGAGTTGTCAACAAATTTTCCTTGGAGATGTGGAATGAGACAAAGATGCCTATGCTACCAATTCTATTCAATATGGCGGTACAGGTTCTAGTCATTGCAATAAAGCAAGTAAAAGAAAAGCATAAGTATTAGAAAAGGAAGAATTTAACTATCTGGAGATAATATGATTATGCCCATAGAAATATAAAAGTATTTAGAGACAAGCTATTAGAAATAATGTTAAGATCATTAGATAATATATATATACACACATACATACATATATATACAAAAATAAATTTTATTTTTATATACCAGCCATAAATAATTGTAAATGAAATAAAATGATACAATTTACTGAAGTATAAAATTTCATATACTAACCTTGACTTATATTTCATACCGTAAAGACATATGATTTCTAACTGGATCAGTGATCTGTGAAAGAGAAACCAATCAACCTTCTATAAAAAAACACAACAGAGTATCATCATGACTTTGAGGTATACAAGGTTTTTTTTAAACAGGACACAAAAATACTAGCTGTAAAGAGGAAAAAAAAGATTAATTGTGCTACATTTAATATTAAGACTTTCTGTTTATTGAACAACACCCTTAAAATAGTGAACGTTTAACTCACAGAGATAGGATAAAGGACTCATTTTTTTAAAATGATGAAAAACTTAAATCAGTAAAAAAAGAAAGATCACCCAATAGAAAAATTGTTAAACAACTTAAAATGTCACCTTATAAAGGAAGATATCTACATAGCCAATAAATATAGGAAAAATAACTTATTCTTATTTGTCATCAGGGAGATAAAACTTTAAATTGCAAATAAATAACCATTATATATACATCAGAATAGCATTGCAATTAAAGGACTTACAGTACCAAATATCATAAGAATTTGGCACACTGGGATTTTTTTACACCGCAGTGGAGCCCAAATGGCAAAACACTATTGAAATCACTCTTGTAACCAGCTTTAACCTTAGCAATATATACTAAAGTTTATCATGTGTACACTTTGACACACCAGTTCCACTCCTGGATATATGTCCAAAGGAAATATACGTAGCAGTTCATCAAAAAATCTTTAAAAGAATGTTCACAGCTGTATTATTCATAAGAGGTAAATACAGGAAGTAACTTAACAGGATAATTAAATAACTTATTTAAATACAGTATGGAATATTTTTACAGTATATTATTATAAAACAATAAGAATAAAAGATGTTATATTGCTACACGCAACAACATGATTTTGAACGTTATAAGTTAAGGCAGTGATTACTTTTGGAGGGGTTAGTGACAGAGTGGAAAGTGAGACTTTCTGAGATGCTGCTAATATATTTTTTTTAATTTGAAGCTACTTAGAATGGGTGAATAATTATTGAGCTGGTATGTATGTTATACTGTAAATAAAATGATTACTTAAAAATATCTTTTTTCAGAAAAATATTAGCACCTGTTAGAATATAAAAACAAAACAAAAAAATAGCAAAACATTACATATTCTAAGTTACTCGTTATCACAAGTAGGCTTAGTGTATTTAGCTTGGTGATATAAACAGGGTCCAATAGCTAATAGACTGCTACATTAAACAGACAATGTTTTAATCAAACACCATTTATGCTTGAGGTAGTAGTGCAGGAGGAAGAATTTCTTTGGTTCTTTGGATGGCTTCAATTCTCAGAGGCTTTTTTTGGAAGAAGTTATTTTTCCATAATCATCTCCTTTACACCTTTTTTTCCTCTTTACCTGAAGGAGCAGTTCAGGGAGAAGAACATGAGAATCTTGAAGGCAATTTCAGAAACTAGTCTTCCTCCTTGTTTCCCCCTCCCTTCTAGTCTCCATTTTCAGAAAGTATGAGTGTTTCTTTTTGGAGTTTGGGGACAAAATTTAGCATTGGAGTATATTAACATTTCATCAAGAGCAAACATACATTTAAAGCAATTATTTTGTGACCCAAAGCTTAGCAGTGGGCTAATGTCTCATAGCAATTAACAAACTGACTGTACCAATACCTTAAAATAAGACGTATGAGTTTTCTCAGTCATCTTCGGCCGTAGATTTTTTGGATTCATGCCATTACTATCAGATGCCTACTTTCAGACAACTCTGACCGAAGTCATATAAATCTGCTAAAAGATTCTTCATTTATGAATAACCAGAAGACTGGGAGATTCTGGCTCCACAGAGCTGGGGAATTTTTTAGTGACAACTACAAAAAGCTTTCTAAAGGGATTCTATGTTTCCACTCTTGCTCCCTTCCTGCCTCCCGCCCCCCACCCCACTGTCCTCATGGTCTGCTCTTAATGAAGTAGTCAGAAAAGATATTTTTATTGCCATGCACACAACTGTCTTAATAGTTTCCCATCGAATTTGTAATCTATGTTACTATGCCTATTGATATGGTTTGGCTCTGTGTCCCCACCCAGATCTCACCGTGAATTATAATAATCCCCACATGTTGTGGGAGGGAGCCAGTGGGAGGTAACTGAATAATGAGGGCAGGTTTTTCCCATGCTGTTCTCGTGATAGTCAGTAAGTTTCATGAGATCTGATGGTTTTATAAAGGGGAGTTCCCCTGCACATGCCCTCTTCCTTGCTGTCATGTAAGACGTGTCTTTGCTCTTCCTTTACCTTCCACCATGATTGTGAGGTCTCACCAGCCATGTGGAACTGTGAATCCATTAAACCGCTTTCCTTTATGAATTACTCAGTCTCAGGTATGTCTTTACAAGCAGCGTGAGAACGAACTAATATACCTGTGAAACCCTAGTGCTTTGGGTAGTGATGTGTTGGTAAATGTTTAACAACCCGCTCTCTGGGGGTAGAAGAGTCCTGATTTGTAGCATTTACTGATTTCTATGGTGTAAATGCTCCTACCATGGCTAACTTTAAGATACAAAAGTTCAAAAAGGCGTTCACAAAATTCCTGAAAATTTAGCAGTAAGGCTGTGTAACCCTATTCGAACTTGCTCCAGCACACCCCTTGATCTCAGCTACCCCTCTGCCGTAATTTCATTCTGTCTCCCACCTTAATTATCCCATTTCAAACTTTTTGTTTCTCTCCTCTTACTCTTTAGTCTAATTTTTCTTACAATTCTCTACTTTTTTATATTAGAATATAAACTGTGTGGAGGCAGGGATTATATCCCAGAATCTGGAAGGATATCCAGAGTTGTGAGCCAAAGATGTGTCTCCACATATGCTTAGCAAGGATAGAACACTGTTATGCATCAGTTTTTGTAGTCACACATGTCACTCAGAAAATTCCAATACAATATTAGTGAATAGGGGAGATTAATTTTCCCAAACATTTTTTTTTTTTACAGAATAGGTCCTCTATCATTATTCTAAAGAATGAATACCTTTGAAATGTTTCCAACTTCTAACTGAGCTTAATTTGTTACAAATGAATGAGAGAGATAAATGAAAAGAAGGCATACTTGCTGATTAATCAAAATAAAGGAGAAGCATATATTTTAACTTTGTCTTAAGGTAGCTTATCATCTTAGCGAGCAGATTAATAGCTTTTCATGCCATTAGTTATTTTGGCTATGGTGGCTCTAAAATATTGATAAAAGAAAAAGACTGACCTCACAGCCATGAATTGCCCATATAAGTATATATGTGCAGTTAGAGAATGTCCTTCAGCAATGTATTTGTTTTAAACTTATAAAAATATATTTAAGTCACTAGGGAGTAAGGGCACATGTACTGCCTGTCAGAGAGCATGGACAAAAGAGATAAAGACAGAAAGCAGATGAAAGAGAAATAATTTCATCTTACTGCCTTTGGAAGCAGTTTTTACATATACAAACTTCTATTTATGGATTACGAGTTTAACCCTTTAGAAATAATGTAATTTCTTTAAGAGATATAGGTATTACCCAATTTTAGATTCAACTGAATATGAAATGCTCAGTGGTTTATGACTAAAACACATCATATCATCTTTTCTTATCTTGGAATGTTAAGAACCACTGGTAATTAGTTCCAGAAATGAACAAAAATGATGCAAAGCAGATATTAGGATAATCAATACATTCAAACATTTCTGTCTTTCCTTGTACATGCTGGTTGCTTTGTGATCCATACAGATTGCCCAACAAGACACCTAGGCTGAAAAGTGGAGTCTATCTTTTCTTCACCATATCCTCAGTGCTGAGCCTTGAAAATGAGGGATGTATTTTCATGTGCAAAATGAGAGTTTCTAATTTCATTGCCTACTGTTTACAAAAAGCTAAAATGGAAAAACTTATTTGTAGATTTTTATCTGAATATATATATTCAGATATATTCTTTTCTCTCTCTCTTTTTTTTTTTCTTTTTTTTCGAGACAGAGTCTTACTCTGTTGCCCGGGCTAGAGCTAGAGTGCAGTGGTGCAATCTCAGCTTCTCAGCTCACTGCAATCTCTGCCTCCCGGGTTCAAGCAATTCTCCCTCCTCAGCCTTCCAAGTAGCTGGGACTACAGGCATGCGCCATCAAACCCAGCTAATTTTTGTATTTTTAGTAGAGACGGGATTTCACCATGTTGGCCAGGCTGGTCTCGAACTCCTGACCTCAAGTGCTCCTCCTGCCTTGGCCTCTCAAAATGCTGGGATTACAGGCATGAGCCACCATGCCTGGCCATATTCTTCTCTATATTGTATATTTCAAAATAGCTAAAAGAGATTTTAAATGTTCTAACCACAATAAATGATAAATATTTGAGGTGATGGATATGCTAATTATTCTGATTTGATCGTTCCACAATGTACACATGTATCAAAATATTACTCTATACTCCACAAATATATAAAATTATTGTCAATTTAAAATAAAATAAATCTTACCAAAAGCTGTATCTGCCTTTTGATTTATCTGCTTTCTGTTGACGTTCTGAGAGGGTATACAAGGTATAGGTAAATGGTTACTATTCATGCCATCCTACCAATAAAACAAAGGGACAATATCTTATGTGTCCCCAGCCTAGAGAAAACTATTATTTTCCCTCCTTTCTTCTTTTGCTCTCTTATCCTCTATTTTCCTTATAGTCTAAACTGTCTGGTGTCCTGCTAAGAGTGTACTCAAAGTGAATGTTTCTCTTTCCTCTCTTCGCTTTGTGCATTATAAGCAAAAGAGTTGGGGATTAGCTTCCAAGTTGTGTACAACTTGAAAGCAGTTTCTTCACTCTCAGACACACTGATGTTTATAATTTCTATGTCACAATGTCCTATGTAGCTTCTTATGGCAGCCACCTGGGAGTTTATTACCAGGTGAACTTGGCTACATCCAAACTGATTAAACCCTGAAGCAGGGGGCCCACATTGCATCTGATTTCCATCTGATACTGAACAAACAGCTTAGGAGAGAATTATAGATAGAAGGAGGCTCCATAGCCTAGAAGTGGTCCTTTGACTCTTCTGAATATTCACATAATCTCTTCCCCGAGATGCCAGTTTTGTAGAAGGCCTACTATTGGTCTGGTTGGAACCACTAGCACCAGAATGATCAATACTGCCTTGGCTCTTCCAGTGGCCCCTGTGGGACATTTCTTGGTCTTCTATCACTCCCCTAGAAACGGAAATTATGTCTTACCTGTTTCCCATAGTTTATTTTTCTAGCTTGCCCTGATTTCAGAGTCACTTAGTTTACCTTGCCTCTTTGTTCCCCGTGATAACTGGTTTCTAAAAATAATGGCACCTGGTGGAATGCATGTTCTTTTTGATCTGACTGATTTAAATCAGTAAGCAATTTGCCTAGCTATTTGTTATATTAGCATCTCAGCTCATATTTTAGTCATTTGGGTTGCTATAACAAGCAACAGAAATGTATTACACACAGTTCTGGAGTCTGAGAAGTCCAAGATCAAAGAGTCAGCAGATTCAGTATCTAGAGAGGGCTCTCTCTCTGCATCAAAAATGATGCCATTACCTGAGTCCTCACCGAGTGAAAGGGACAGAAGTTCCGTGTTGATATTGCACTATATCTCATTTATCAGTAAACCATTTTTCCCTATCTCAGTCTATTTTTGAGACCCCTACTAAATATCTATATTCTCTCAGAAAGATAAGAAACTCAAGTTTATATAATACAAAAGTAATAGATATGCCTTAACCCTTAACTGGTTACTGACCAATTCCTGGCTCAAATGATCAGTTTTACTGACTTCTTCAGATTTGCTCCAATGACTCCTAACTCCCATGTAAAAATGTGAGGGCAGAAACTATTATAAAGTATCTTAAATAAATCCCTATACATAATATTTTAAATGTTAAAAGAGTAAAATATCATTAAAATATAATACTCTGTGCTGGCAATCGTATAATGAAACAGATAAATCTATACCTGGATGCTGCCAGTGAAAATTAATACAAATCCTTATAAAGAGATTTAACAATGTATATCTTAATTTGTAAACATTTAATTTTTCCACCTAACAAGGTAATAGGACTTGCTTGCCTAGTTTATGTACAAGTACTGTTGACAGTTTTGTTTAAATAGCAAAAACTGGAAACAAGTAACAGGTGAGATGCAAAAGCTGTAATACTCTAGCACAATGATATTATATAGCCAATTAAAACAAAATGTTGCTAAAATGTTAATGATGAGGGAGATATGTTTTATGAACATAAGATATGACTCAGTATAAATACATAATCTGTATTCATATGGGTCACCCTGACCCTCAGAAACCCAGTTGAACTTAACCTAAACCTTGTGTCTACGGTCCTATGGGACTCCAGAAGCCAGATAGCATGTTTGCTGTCTTTGAGACTGCACCTTACTTCTTCGTACTTGTTTTCAGCCTTTTGCTTTGCATCACCTTGACTCAAATCTCAATGCCTTCACTGGTTTCTACAAGAAACCCATTCACAGAAAATAGTTGTGTTTTCTAAAAGTCTATGTTGAAGACTTAGGTGGGCAGGGGTAGAGGCAATGGCTGTATTACGGGATGTGAAAAATTATAGAGAAGGTTACAAATTGTAATATGATGTTCTGCTATCTCCTGGCTCCACTGTCACCTTCTCTTCCTTCTTCCTTTCTTTTCTGTCCCTCACCCCTCACTTTAAAAAAAAGAAAAGGCGGGGCGCGGTGGCTCACGCCTGTAATCCCAGCACTTTGGGAGGCTGAGGTGGGGGGATCACGAGGTCAGGAGATCGGGACCATCCTGGCTACCACGGTGAAACCCCGTCTCTACTAAAAAATACAAAAAATTAGCCGGGCGTGGTGGCAGGTGTCTATAGTTCCAGCTACTCAGGAGGCTGAGGCAGGAGAATGGCGTGAACCCAGGAGGCAGAGCTTGCAGTGAGCTGAGATTGTGCCACTGCACTCCAGCCTGGGTGACAGAGTGAGACTCCGTCTCAAAAAAAAAAAAAAAAAAATAGAAAATCCTTTCTTGGTCTCATGCAGGGTTAATTTAGCCATAGTCAAGCCTTTTTATCCCAATCAGATTGGATAAGGGACTTACTTCTCAATAAGTATAGTCTGTTCATGACACCTTTTCAGATTTAAACATTTTCTCCATTAAATTGCTTATCGTCCAATCCCTATTTAGTCCAAACAACAGATATGTTCCTCTATATTTACCTCTTTAGCTGCCTGTCCCTCGTTTCAAGAAACATCTCCTGCTCTTATTTGTTAGCATATTTGTAGTTGATCTTACCTGCTGGGCAAGATCTCACTGTTTCATTTTGTATTCACTCCCTCTAGAAGGATGTTGTCGTAAAGAATAAAACTGTTCTTTGATTAAGGATATAGAGGTTGTTGTAAACCCATGTGAGCATCTCCAGAATATTTTACAATTCCTTTTGTCAGAGCAAAATAAGCTATCTGTATATAAATAAAATACCGTAAGGAAACACATTCATATTAGTAACAGTGGCTATTGGTGATTGATATAATCATTAATGGTTTTTATGTTTTATTATATGCTCCATATTACATGTATATACACAAACATATATTATCTATTTACTTTCAGTTACAAAGAATACAACTCAGCTAACTACATAAGATATAGCATATTTTATTACAGGGTCATACACATACTGTTAAGTTATATTCTAATGGTTATTTAGAGTAATCGTATATGTTTTTCTAAATTCAGAAGTATGCTTACCCAGAAGTAAGTATTTATTCTCTTGAAACGTAAGAACTTTCAATAAGCATAAGGAATAAAAAACTTAAGCTACAAACACCTTGGCATATTCCAAGATAGAATGCAAATAGCAAATGTTCCAAGGTAATTTTCACATTCTCAAGTAAATGTATTATTTTTCTTGATCTTTCTCTTATGAAATCTTTCTGTAGCTGAATATCTTATGGACTTATGCTAAGCTTTCAGCTGCTCTGCTCCAATGCCATAATATTTGCAAGTCTCTTCCAAGCCAAACCATCTATATTATGCTGTATCACTGCACATTAAGTGTCATTAAATATCTATTTCATTTACTACAAAATTTGACATGTCTGTCTTAAATCGAATACCTGGTTTAAAATTGCTTAATACGGGGCTGTTACTTAGTATTAGACCAAGGAAAAGGCTAAATGCTAGCATGCAAAGACCTTAGAAAACAATTTTCATCTGTTGCTGAAAAAACAAAAGTTGGCCTTCATGTTGTGAATTTTAATGAAAAAAATTATGTGGACTTTGCTTCACAAAGATATTTATGGAACTGGAGAATTCATTTCTACTTTTTCCTACATGCTGTCATTTGTTAACTCTCCATTTCAATCTAAAAAGAATTTTGTAAGGTATAGAAATGCTAAAAAAAAAAAAACCAAGCCTGAATACGTTAGTTTAACTTTTTACTTGCAATAGAAAAAAGGTTGTGTCGTAGGAGAATATAATTAGATGTATCTTGTTTAAATTTTGCACTTGCAACATTGTTTTGTGACAGTGGTTAGAAATGATTAAAAAGATTTGTCTAAATTTTTCTATAGGCATTTTGGCCATCAGGTTGATAACTAGAGGAATGCTATTAACAACTGAAAAGTTTCTCTTTGATTATCCAATATTAATTTCTATCAGTTATTCTCCATTCACAAAGCCAAAAGGAAAAAACAAATGACATTTGTTCTTTATGACCACTACACATTAAGCTAGCAGTTCCCACTGCTTGAAACATTCCCGTCACTGAACTTTATTTAAGAAAACCTCCTTATCTTTCAAGACCTAACTCAAATCCATTAGTTTCAGGATATCTGCTCCACCTCCAGGTGATGTCCTGAATTATATCTATTACTTTTTTCAAGCCCATTTCATGTGTGTGTGTGTGTAAATGTGTTTTCATTTAAAAAAAACTTTAAAGTTTTCAAAGATAGGAAATTATGCCTTATATTTATTTGGAACTCCTGCAATACACTTTAAAATGGGAATGAGTTTTTAAAATCCTTAATCATTGATTCAACATGGGTTCAGAACCATCGAAACAAATGGTAGCTGCCAACAACCAGTATATCCTTACTATGTGCACAAGTTAAATAGCTCTGCTATAAGGTACTTATACATATGTAATTTTTGGTGTAAGAAAATAATAATTAAACAGGGAACAATGTAGTAAATAATTTCACTAGTATGTGTCATTAGACTATAATTTAATAAAACTTTATGCCTAATAAAATTAGAAAGACATAAAGCAAATGATCACTGTTTCTATTTTCTACAACAAAAGAAGATATTGTTAAGTTCCATATTATTAGAAGACAGACCATATCCATACGATATTTTGAAAACTGAGCTGGTATTCCTGTTATTAGCATAAATCAGAGGCAGTCAATATGTATGTATTTGATTGTTAACAACAAACAAGAACTATTAATTGTATGTCCAATTTGTGCCAGGGGCAGTGAGTGCTAAGGGTTAGGAGGGATATGTGATGTGGAATCTATGATTACAAATCTCCACAAGTCCTTTCATACCATTTGAAGCAAGGCAGCCCAAAAGAAAAGCTAGAACCAAGAGGTATTACACTCGAGTAATAAATAACCCTACGAGCCACTTTATTAGCAAACCAAATGATAGTACTATTTGTTTTTGGTATCTTTTGCTTTTCATTATTTTTCATGTAAAAGCTGAACTTGTGCTGTTGGTTTTTTTTTTTTTTTCCTCTCTCTCTCTTTTTTACTTTGCAGCAGTGACAATTTATGGATTCAATAATTTCTCATATTCTACCTGAAAAATGTTTCCTTATCCAAAGGTTAACTCCTTTAGGAGTACAAACCTCTAAATTTTCTCTTTCGCTGTATTAGTCGGTACAACTAGATTCACTAGACTCATAAATCTATCAATTTTCTAGTCTATAACTGTGTAATCCCTGAAATCTCATAGATATAAATGGAATTGCTAATTTTCAATAAATCTACAGAAACAGGTAATAGTGTCATGGACCCCCAGTTCCAATCATTTTAGCTATAATAAATGATACCACAGGGGACTCACTTTGGGTCATAAAATTTACTGATCAGGATACAGATTTTAACCCCCAAAGTATTTTATAACTTTCCCTTCTTTGCTACTTTAAAGTATGGATTCTAAGAATGATTTCTCACTTAAAACTGGTTATAGATAGGAAAGAGAGAAAAATACATTTACAGTTTTCCAAGTTAGTATTCACTATTGTAAAAAGACAACACCTAAGTAACATTCTTGAAGTTATTTCAAATATAATATGTGTATAGGTAACTTAAAAGTTACACATATTGAAAAATATGAGATTGCTATTTATATTCTTATATTTTCAGATACAAAAATGCACAACAGAAGTGTACTTTTCTAATGGATGATAAGCTTATCCTTTTAAAACCAGTTCTTTAAACATACAATTAAAGATTTTAATTTATTTGATTATGTAAATATTTTAATTTCTTTAAATAATTACAAAATGTTTTCCTACTGTTCTTTAAAAGTGGAGTAATAAACTTTTCACTTGATGTTTTTATACTTTCGTTGTAAGACTTTTACCAATATGTCTAAAACATAATAACTCCGTAATAACTTAGATATATTTTACCAATATGTTATTAGACAGTTATATTGGTAAAGTATGTCTAAACATGTCCATTTTATCAATATGTCTAAAACTCCATAATAACTATCACAATAACTCCATAATAACTATCACAATAACTCCATAATAACTTAAAAATGAATGAAAGATTTTTTTAGATGTATCTCCAAGGATTTTTTCAGCTCTGCAATTGTATGTGGAATGACCTCTAAACAATATTACTAAGAAATCATGTTTCAAACAGACGTAAGGAATTGGTAAAAAATAAAATTTTCAATGGTACTCTAAAAGTAACATTTCAACAAAAAATAATTGTGAAAGGTAAAAGTTGAAATTCATCCTAAATGAATGTTTTTCCTCTGTAGTATTGAAACCTTTAAAGTCTTTGAGTTTCAAAGGACAAACTTTGGGATTTCCCTGGTTAAACTCAAAGTGACTGTGTGACAGAAGGGGTGGATTAGCTATATTCTTTGCTGTATTTTTATAACTAAAGCTAGAATGATTAGGGAAGTTGCAATGTCAAATCAGTATTCTCTCATTTGTCTACCAGAAAGCAGTCTTACTAGAAATGCACATACATAAGATTTTTGATTTGGTTCCAGTTGACACTTGATGTGTCAAGTACCAGGCAGTAAAATGCAGATCCAGTAACATTTCTTCTTCTTTTGTGGCTAGCTCATGGTAACATTCAGACAGCTTCTCTAGCTTTTTAAATGCAAATTTCCCTCTTTTCTATGGGACAAGTTGAGTTGCTAGTAGATACTAACTAAATAAGTCATATAAAAGAAGTGCAATATATAATTACTTCGAAATAGGTCTTAACTGTGTGTTTCTAATATAAATAAGCAATAAGGGAAAGTTAGGATTATCTGAAACAATTGGAAGTATCAAAGAGAACTCTTTTTAAAAGCAACCATGTATTTATTTATCTTCCTAAAAAGTTCTGGTAATCTTGACAAAAAGATTGATTTTACTGGCTAGGTCAGCACCCTTATTAAAATTAAACATTCTATCATACAACAGAAACTATGCTGAGATACAAGATAGATCACAACATGTTGAGAAATATGTGAATATACTTTTATGCCCCCATAAATATTTATTAACAGCACACATGTTTGATAAATATATTCTGAAGAATAACTCAAATATGTCATATTTAAAGCATTTCAGAGAGGTATATGACTTCTTCTGATTAACTCATTGAAAGTAGGATTGAAATTTCTAGGGTCAAAATCATTACTGCTGTTCCTGACTTTGCCACTAATGACTGGGCTCTAGCTATTATAATTTGGCAGACTAAGTAATATCCTGTTGACCTTTGGAAAAATAAAACATTATTCACTAGTTCTGGTACTGATACTATTTTTAGATACAGAAATGTCTTTTTCATTTAGCAGTGCCATATGTGTGAATATCACTGCCTAAATCTTTCATGTGCATGAATTAGCCATTTGTTTATTGTTAACCAGTCACTTATCTATTTATGTATTCCTATAACTTTGTTCCACAAGTCATTTCAACAGCATATAGGGAATATGGTTTGAATTCTTTCTTGGAACTTGGTAAAATAATTCCACCAAGCTTTTGGGAAGGTCCTGCCATACGATGCAGTGGAGAAGAGAACAATTTTAGCCATGCACATGTTTTGTTGTAGTGATGCCAAATGCCCATTGGCAAGCTAGACATCTGGATATTTGAATTAAAACTTCCTTTCTCCGCAGATTTTTGTTACATGGGCAGACATTGTGTCAATGAAAAGCTTTTGCCTGTTTGTTTGGTGTCCTGAAATATATGAATACATATATGTGAGGCCAAATTGTTAGACATCTGATTTAAACCAGTATTCTTGAACTGACCCCTTTTAAAAATGACAAAAAAAAACTTTCCTCCAAAATCATAAAGAAAATACATTCAACTGGGTGAACCAATATAAAAAGAATTCATTCTAAAGGACCTAATTCTCAGGTTTCTCTTTTTCAGACAGGTTATTTTCTTTGAAATATCATTTTAATTCATGGATTAGTGACAAAAAGAATGTATTACATGAAAAGACAGTCTGGTAATTATAGGTTTCCCAGCAGACTGAAACAGTGTATCACATTGAACACATAAAAACAGGAAAATGCTTGAGATATTATCATTTTATATTGAGAAACAGTTTAATTATTTAGAGTGTGGTTTTATTTTTTCATATGCAGCCAATCATATTCTATTATTAAAAACTGTTGCCATGGTTTCTGGCTTGGAAAATTATATTTATTGTGTTATGGCAACATATTGGAGATTTTGCTTTCACATTAAAAAAAGATTGAATAAAATTAGTTCTTCCAATAAATTAAATTGTGCTACACAAATGTATTTATAATTAGGACTCATTAAAAATATCCGATATTGGTCCACTTTGCATTTTGAAAATTCTCAAGTTAGAACAAGAATCGGCCTCTTTTTCTTCATATTTCTTCAAATTAGCTCCACTTTGTCTTTCTTTTTGAAGTGTTTAGGGTTAATCCAAAAACACCTTGCAGGTGGGATTGCAATGTCCGAAGGGACAGAGGGGGCCTGGCCATGCTTCTGCTCAGAATAAAGGAAGAAAAGTCTAAAAGAGAGAAGTGGATTCTGGGAAGCTTGATCTATTTAATAAGTCAGAGAACTTTAAATTTCTTCAACATTTGTTTTCTGTGGATGATTAGGCCTTATTGCTTTCGCGTGCACCATCTCTTTGCCTCTTCTTTCAAACAAATTTATAATTATATATTATTTAATTTTACCTGTTACTTAGTGCACATTTGATCCTCAGAACAACCTTGTAAAGCACATTTTATGTACCCATTTCAGAACCTGGGAAAGAACCTCCAAGAATGGCTGAAGCAGTTCGCCTGCCCATCAGTGGCTGGCAGCACCAGTGGAGCTATGTGAATCTTGGTACCGCAGAGCTAAAGTTAGACTATAGGATTGATTTAGAGAGGAGAAAAGAACTTACCTTTTTTGAGCACTTACTACATGCTAGGCACTATGCCAAATGTTTAACAATATATTGGCTCATTCGGTCTACAAAATAATATATAAGTTGGCAGTATGATCTTCATTTTACTGAATAAAAAAAGACAGTCTCAAAGAGGTTAATGTTATTTTTGGAAATCAATGACAGATAAAACTTTATAAGCATTGACAGCATGCCATATATCATGGTAATATGGATTGATTCATTTACTCTTTCTAATGACTTTAAAAATGAATAAGTATTCATTTTTTTCTACTTTTTAGATAAAAAAGCCAAGATTTAAAATTGTTAAGTAATTTTCCCAAACTCAAATAGAAGAAATTGATTATGTCAAATCAACACTATTGTCTTTTACTAAAAACATCAAAAATAGAAAAGTCAGTATGAAATCATTTACCTTCACAGGGAATGTGAGGGAAGAAGAGACTGGCTGCTAGGTATAACTATGACTCCCACAGAATGGAGCTATCTAGGCCTCTCATTGCACTTTCTTCTCTTTCCAGTGATACAGCTAGCCTTGAGTAATTTGATTCCCCATGATGCCTTGCCAGATACAAAGTGTTTCCTACTTCACTTTCTGAATTATGTCTGTGTTGTTCTACTTCACTTTCTGAATTATGTCTGTGTTGTTCTAAGACTTGTGCTAAAATCCTGAAGACATTTCCCAGCCTGATGGTTGTTAGTCAGGCATATGTCTTAGCAATATTTGTATTCTCTGCTATTGCTTTTCAGTGTCTCAAATGAAGAGTAAGTAGAGATATTGAAAGACTCAGATCAGGCAATGTACTATTAAAAATGCATTTTAGAAGAATATTTGCTGGAAAGGAAGTAATACTTCTGAATTACCTATAATTTTGAAGTGCCTTTGGAAATTTTACTCATAAATTATTGGTGTATTCAGATTTTCCCTGTACCTTAACGTCTCAACAAATCAAGAGTAAGTTGAAAATTTTTGTTTCAACTTTATTTAGGTCTGCTCTGATCTTGGTTATTTATTTTCTTCTGCAGAGTTTGGGTTTGGTTTGTTCTTATTTCTCTAGTTCCTTGAGGTGTGACTTCATATTAACTATTTGTGCTCTTTCAGACTTTTTGATGTAGGCATGTAAAGCTATGAACTTTCTTCTTAGCACTGTCTTTGCTGTATCCCAGAGGTTTTGATAGGTTGTATCACTATTATCGTTCAGTTCAAATAATTTTTAAATTTTCATTTTGATGTCATTGTTGACCCAATGGTCATTCAAGAGTAGGTTTTTAATTTCCATGTACTTGATTGGTTTGAAGGCTCCTTTTGGAGTTGATTTCCAATTTTATTCCACTGTGGTCTGAGAGAGTACTTGATATAATATCAATTTTCTTAAATTTATTGAGACTTGTTTTGTGGCCTATCATATGGTCTATCTTGGAGAAAGTTGCATCTGCTGATGAAGAGAAGTGTATATTCTGCAGTTGTTGCATAGAATGTTCTGGAAATACCTGTTAAGTTCATTTGTTCTAGATTATAGTTTAAATCCATTGTTTCTTTGTTGACTTTCTGTCTTGATGACCTGTTTAGTGCTGTCAGTGGAGTATTGAAGTCCCCTACTATTATCGTGTTGTTGTCTATCTCATTTCTAAGGTCTAGTAGTAATTGTTTTATAAATTTGGGAACTCCAGTGTTAGATGCATATATATTTATAGTATTATGATATTTTCCTGTTGGACAAGACCTTTGATAATTATATAGTGTCCCTCTTTGTCTTTTTAAACTGCTGTGGCTTTAAAGTTTGTTTTGTCTGATATAAGAATAGCTAGATTTCTCTTTAAATATCAATGTGTTTGAATATGTATAATTAATGTACACAATTTAAAAGATATGTATATTTCCTAGCACACAAATATACTAATTGACAAGCAAGTCATGGATTTTTACAAATAATAAAGTATAATACTTGAAATGCAAATGTATTATGTTGAAGTTATGAATAAAAGGACAACCTTGACTATTATTCACTGAATAACTGAATGAACTACATTAAATATTAAAACATAAAAGCATACAATAAAAAGAAAATAGATACAACAAAACTCATTAATCCAGCAACATTTTAAAAAATTCATTTTCATTACTAGGAAAGAGAAATAATACAATATAGTCTTTACAACTTACTGTGCTCTCTACAGAAGTATGTTTTCTAACTATACCAACTCTGTTTGCTTGATGAGTTCAAGAGAGTAAAAGACAATTAGAGCCTGAAATCTGTGTAAACAGGATAAGAGAAGATGAAAATAGTCGTATATTTTCAACAATGTGTTTTAATGAGAGCACCAAAAACCACAACGATGCTGTTGAGCTCAACTGTGAAAATATGAGTTTCTGTCACACCTGTGGTTCCTCAATTTTTTAAAAAAAGTATTTTTCCTGCAGTGATGTCTTTGGGGTATCCACTGGGTTACATTTTGCAATGTTTTATCTTGATTTGGCTTATTTCAGAAGCCAGTCATTCATGGCTCAGCTGCATTGGGCTCCCATGTTAGAATCCAAGTGCTGTCTCAAAACGTGGTGTGAAATATAGCCTTAAAGAGTGACTCTGAAATTAAGACTGTCTTCTCATTTAAAAAAATCCCTGATTCCCATATTCTGAACAGCCAAGAAGTATGATTTATAAAGTGGTTAGAAACATGTGGTGTCTCAAATCCTACTATTTGCAAAGTTTATTTACATAGACCTTGGTTGATTTGAGTTGTGGATTTTCTTTGTTAAATTCATAATTTTGTGTCAATGGGAAAAAAGGTCAAAGAGTTTCATAACCAAAAAGAAAGTCCTAGATCTCAGAAAATAATTTAAATTCCTTTGAGTCACATGAGGTTTAAATTTCAAGATAAAGTATTCAAGTTTAATGTTAAAAATATAATTTTTAGTGCCTATCTTTTATCCTTCAGAAGGAAATTATTTAAGCATGGGTATGGGAAGACATTGTTGTTAAGCAAATGCACAGAGGATTTCAGCACTGAAATACAGATACAGCTGTTTAAATTGTCAAAGAAAAATGCTCTTTTCAATTGTGCACCTTCACTGTATTCTACTTCCATGTTTGATAATATTTTACACATTGAGTTTCAGTTTTTCAACAGTTGTTATATTTCCTTGATCCTTTTCTCAGTATGATGCCTGACTCAATCTCAAATATAATATCTTTCAGATAGAAATATTTCTCTCACTGATTTCAAATAAATTCCCAATGTGAAATTGATACCCCAAATTTTAGATAAAGAAGGAAGAACCTGTACTACATAGCATATACAAAAAGAATTGGCACTGGTGTATGACTTTATAAAAAAGTAAAGTCAATGAATGAGATGTCTCCTTTGGTACATCTGCAAGCAAGACTTTATTTTCATTGGAGCAAGCATGTTAAAAATTGGGGAGAAGAAAACATGCCTTTGCCACTTGTGAATTTTAGCTGCTATTTTTTTCTGCAAGCACCTTGTAGGGAAAGAGTAACCTCAAAGCTCTCTAGAGAGATGAGGTATGAGCAAATTGCACATTGAGATAAATTTGAATAGAGAAATTTTACAAAAATAAAGTGAATTGAAAACCTTAAAAAAAAACTCAATATAATGCTTAATGGTACATGTGAGAAAAAGACAGCTTGAAAATGTGGCATGAAATAAACAGATCACCACTTAGAAGCATAACATTCACTAATCCTAGAGACACAATTGAAGTTCATACCAAGTACAGGGCCTGGGAGTTTGGCCAAGAAAATTATCTCACGGGGCCTAGAGCTTGATTTGTATTTCACATAATATGAAGTGGCATTCATTACCTTGTAATTGATATGCAGATAAGAAGAAATTATTTATGGCATAATTAACTGGGAGGGAAAGAGTACCATATATGTACATATGGGAGAACTGAGGGTTTCTGACAGGACCATAAACCATAAAGAGACTTTTGACAATGATCAGACCTATGAGGTAAACTGCTGCCTTGGAAATTCATTCAGCTTTATGTACCTAATATATTTGTAATCATCTTTTAGTGTCATGCTTGAGGTGTGAAGCGGGTATTTATGAAATTTTTCTCCCTGACAAAAAATGGCTAAAGTTGTTTTGATGTTTTGAAACATTAGTATTTCCAAAAGGATCTTAGAACATAATTTTTATGAGATGCTAGTCAGTTTGGGAGATGCTGGGTTGAAGAAAGAAAATAGGACTCCTCAGAGCTTTTAATATCTAATATGTATTGTGACTTTCCAAGAGGAAGTAAATTATATAATACTTCCTAACTTATTTAACTGTAAAACTCTACTCTTTGGAATGCCTTTTTGGAAAACAACTTACAAAAAAAAAAAAAAAAAAAAGAAAGAAAGAAAAGAAAAAGAAGAAAAAGTAAGCTGAAATAACTGTTATTTAGAACTTCCACTAACAACTTGCATGTGCCTGACTTTTACATAATTAAAACAGGTGATTTTCATGCAAAGCCTTCCCTACTTTATTTCATCTTGATTAGGCCATCTCTGAATAAGGTTCTCCATCCTCATCCAGAAACTTTTCAGGTATGCGTGCTCCAGTTTGGTAAGGTAGCCTTTTTAAGAGCTTCCTCCCAGTCAGTCAGTGGTGCTGCCCAGACTTGCACACTTCTCTCTAAAAAGCCCAGTTATCCAGTAAACACCAGATCACCAAGGTCGGCCCTGGGCTGCCAGCCCTCCCAGGGCTGGTTTCACCTGCATACCCAGTAATGGGGAAATCAGGGCTTTATGTTCTGGATCATGAACCGGAAACACAAATAAGTCATAGAAACACTTCCAGCTTGGATGATTGCTACAAAAGACTATTAACATCTCATTAACTCTTGACCTACTCATCTTGAATGTGCCTTTACTCATGTGGTTTTCCTCACCTGGAAGGCTCACTCTCTCCACTTTTGCTTTCCAAATACTCTCTTTTTGATAGCATTAACAGAAATGCATGAAAGCTATGAAGTGTTTTTTTTTGTGTGTGTGTTCCCATAAAACTTTATTTATTTATTTATTTTTTCTTTTATTATTATACTTTAAGTTTTAGGGTACATGTGCACATTGTGCAGGTTAGTTACATATGTATACCTGTGCCACGCTGGCACGCTGCACCCACTAACTCGTCATCTAGCATTAGGTATATCTCCCAATGCTATCCCTCCCCCCTCCCCCCACCCCACAACAGGCCCCAGAGTGTGATGTTCCCCTTCCTGTGTCCATGTGATCTCATTGTTCAACTCCCACCTATGAGTGAGAATATGCGGTGTTTGGTTTTTTGTTCTTGTGATAGTTTACTGAGAATGATGATTTCCAATTTCATCCATGTCCCTACAAAGGACATGAACTCATCATTTTCTATGACTGCATAGTATTCCATGGTGTATATGTGCCACATTTTCTTAATCCAGTCTATCGTTGGACATTTGGGTTGGTTCTAAGTCTTTGCTATTGTGAATAGTGCCACAATAAACATATGTGTGCATGTGTCTTTATAGCAGCATGATTTATAGTCCTTTGGGTATATACCCAGTAATGGGATGGCTGGGTCAAATGGTATTTCTAGTTCTAGATCCCTGAGGAATCGCCACACTGACTTCCGCAATGGTTGAACTAGTTTACAGTCCCACCAACAGTGTAAAAGTGTTCCTATTTCTCCACATCCTCTCCAGCACCTGTTTTTTCCTGACTTTTTAGTGATTGCCATTCTAACTGGTGTGAGATGGTATCTCATTGTGGTTTTGATTTGCATTTCTCTGATGGCCAGTGATGATGAGCATTTTTTCATGTGTTTTTTTGGCTGCATAAATGTCTTCTTTTGAGAAGTGTCTGTTCATGTCCTTTGCCCACTTTTTGATGGAGTTGTTTGTTTTTTTCTTGTCAATTTGTTTGAGTTCATTGTAGATTCTGGATATTAGCCCTTTGTCAGATGAGTAGGTTGCGAAAATGTTCTCCCATTTTGTAGGTTGCCTGTTCACTCGGATGGTAGTTTCTTTTGCTGTGCAGAAGCTCTTTAGTTTAATTAGATCCCATTTGTCAATTTTGGCTTTTGTTGCCACTGCTTTTGGTGTTTTAGGCATGAAGTCCTTGCCCATGCCTATGTCCTGAATGATATTGCCTAGGTTTTCTTCTGGGTTTTTATGGTTTTAGGTCTAATGTTTAAGTCTTTAATCCATCTTGAATTGATGTTTATATAAGGTGTAAGGAAGGGATCCAGTTTCAGCTTTCTACATATGGCTAGCCAGTTTTCCCAGCACCATTTATTAAATAGGGAATCCTTTCCCCATTGCTTGTTTTTCTCAGGTTTGTCAAAGATCAGATAGTTGTAGATATGTGGTGTTATTTCTGAGGGCTCTGTTCTGTTCCATTGATCTATATCTCTGTTTTGGTACCAGTACCATGCTGTTTTGGTTACTGTAGCCTTGTAGTATAGTTTGAAGTCAGGTAGTGTGATGCCTCCAGCTTTGTTCTTTTGGCTTTGGATTGACTTGGTGATGCGGGCTCTTTTTTGGTTCCATATGAACTTTAAAGTAGTTTTTTCCAATTCTGTGAAGAAAGGCATTGGTATCTTGATGGGGACGGCATTGAATCTGTAAATTACCTTGGGCAGTATGGCCATTTTCACGATATTGATTCTTCCTACCCATGAGCATGGAATGTTCTTCCATTTGTTTGTATCCTCTTTTATTTCCTTGAGCAGTGGTTTGTAGTTCTCCTTGTAGAGGTCCTTCACATCCCTTGTAAGTTGGATTCCTAGGTATTTTATTCTCTTTGAAGCAATTGTGAATGGGAGTTCACTCATGATTTGGCTCTCTGTTTGTCTGTTGTTGGTGTATAAGAATGCTTGTGATTTTTGTACATTGATTTTGTATCCTGAGACTTTGCTGAAGTTGCTTATCAGCTTAAGGAGATTTTGGCCTGAGACAATGGGGTTTTCTAGATATACAATCATGTCGTCTGCAAACAGGGACAATTTGACTTCCTCTTTTCCTAATTGAATACCCTTTATTTCCTTCTCCTGCCTAATTGCCCTGGCCAGAACTTCCAACACTATGTTGAATAGGAGTGGTGAGAGAGGGCATCCCTGTCTTGTGCCAGTTTTCAAAGGGAATGCTTCCAGTTTTTGCCCATTCAGTATGATATGGGCTGTGGGTTTGTCATAGATAGCTCTTATTATTTTGAAATACGTCCCATCAATACCTAATTTATTGAGAGTTTTTAGCATGAAGGGTTGTTGAATTTTGTCAAAGGCCTTTTCTGCATCTATTGAGGTAATCATGTGGTTTTTGTCTTTGGCTCTGTTTATATGCTGGATTACATTTATTGATTTGTGTATATTGAACCAGCCTTGCATCCCAGGGATGAAGCCCACTTGATCATGGTGGATAAGCTTTTTGATGTGCTGCTGGATTCGGTTTGCCAGTATTTTATTGAGGATTTTTGCATCAATGTTCATCAGGGAAATTGGTCTAAAATTCTCTTTTTTGGTTGTGTCTCTGCCAGGCTTTGGTATCAGAATGATGCTGGCCTCATAAAATGAGTTAGGGAGGATTCCCTCTTTTTCTATTGATTGGAATAGTTTCAGAAGGAATGGTACCAGTTCCTCCTTGTACCTCTGGTAGAATACGGCTGTGAATCCCTCTGGTCCTGGACTCTTTTTTGTTGGTAAGCTATTGATTATTGCCACAATTTCAGATCCCGTTATTGGTCTATTCAGAGATTCAAGTTCTTCGTGGTTTAGTCTTGGGAGAATGTATGTGTCGAGGAATTTATCCATTTCTTCTAGATTTTCTAGTTTATTTGCGTAGAGGTGTTTGTAGTATTTTCTGATGGTAGTTTGTATTTCTGTGGGATCGGTGGTGATATCCCCTTTATCATTTTTTATTGTGTCTATTTGATTCTTCTCTCTTTTTTTCTTTATTAGTCTTGTTAGTGGTCTATCTATTTTTTTGATCCTTTCAAAAAACCAGCTCCTGGATTCATTAATTTTTTGAAGGGTTTTTCGTGTCTCTATTTCCTTCAGTTCTGCTCTGATTTTAGTTATTTCTTGCCTTCTGCTAGCTTTTGAATGTGTTTGCTCTTGCTTTTCTAGTTCTTTTAATTGTGATGTTAGGGTGTCAATTTTGGATCTTTCCTGCTTTCTCTTGTGGGCATTTAGTGCTATAAATTTCCCTCTACACACTGCTTTGAATGCATCCCAGAGATTCTGCTATGTTGTGTCTTTGTTCTCGTTGGTTTCAAAGAACATCTTTATTTCTGCCTTCATTTCGTTATGTACCCAATAGTCATTCAGGAGCAGGTTGTTCAATTTCCATGTAGTTGAGCGGTTTTGAGTGAGATTCTTAATCCTGAGTTCTAGTTTGATTGCACTGTGGTCTGAGAGATAGTTTGTTATAATTTCTGTTCTTTTACATTTGCTGAGGAGAGCTTTACTTCCAAGTTTGTGGTCAATTTTGGAATAGGTGTGGTGTGGTGCTGAAAAAAATGTATATTCTGTTGATTTGGGGTGGAGAGTTCTGTAGATGTCTATTAGGTCCGCTTGGTGCAGAGCTGAGTTCAATTCCTGGGTATCCTTGTTGACTTTCTGTCTCGTTGATCTGTCTAATATTGACAGTGGGGTGTTAAAGTCTCCCATTATTAATGTGTGGCAGTCTAAGTCTCTTTGTACGTCACTCAGGACTTGCTTTATGAATCTGGGTGCTCCTGTATTGGGTGCATATATATTTAGGATAGTTAGCTCTTCTTGTTGAATTGATCCCTTTACCATTATGTAATGGCCTTCTTTGTCTCTTTTGATCTTTATTGGTTTAAAGTCTGTTTTATCAGAGACTAGGATTGCAACCCCTGCCTTTTTTTGTTTTCCATTTGCTTGATAGATCTTCCTCCATCCTTTTATTTTGAGCCTATGTGTGTCTCTGTATGTGAGATGGGTTTCCTGAATACAGCACACTGATGGGTCTTGACTATTGAATTTGCCAGTCTGTGTCTTTTAATTGGAGCATTTAGTCCATTTACATTTAAAGTTAATATTGTTATGTGTGAATTTGATCCTGTCATGATGATGTTAGCTGGTTATTTTGCTCGTTAGTTGATGCAGTTTCTTCCTAGTCTCGATGCTCTTTACATATTGGCATGATTTTGCAGCGGCTGGTACCGGTTGTTCCTTTCCATGTTTAGTGCTTCCTTCAGGAGCTCTTTTAGGGCAGGCCCGGTGGTGACAAAATCTCTCAGCATTTGCTTGTCCGTAAAGTATTTTATTTCTCCTTCACTTATGAAGCTTAGTTTGGCTGGATATGAAATTCTGGGTTGAAAATTCTTTTAAGTATGTTGAATATTGGCCCCCACTCTCTTCTGGCTTGTAGGGTTTCTGCCGAGAGATCCACTGTTAGTCTGATGGGCTTCCCTTTGAGGGTAACCCGACATTTCTCTCTGGCTGCCCTTAACATTTTTTCCTTCATTTCAACTTTGGTGAATCTGACAATTATGTGTCTTGGAGTTGCTCTTCTCGAGGAGTATCTTTGTGGCGTTCTCTGTATTTCCTGAATCTGAATGTTGGCCTGCCTTGCTAGATTGGGGAAGTTCTCCTGGATAATATCCTGCAGAGTGTTTTCCAACTTGGTTCCATTCTCCCCGTCGCTTTCAGGTACACCAATCAGACATAGATTTGGTCTTTTCTCATAGTCCCATATTTCTTGGAGGCTTTGCTCGTTTCTTTTTATTGTTTTTTCTCTAAAGTTCCCTTCTCACCTCATTTCATTCATTTCATCTTCCATCACTGATACCCTTTCTTCCAGTTGATCGAATCGGCTCCTGAGGCTTCTGCATTCTTCACGTAGTTCTCGAGCCTTGGTTTTCAGCTCCATCAGCTCCTTTAAGCACTTCTCTGTATTGGTTATTCTAGTTATACATTCTTCTAAATTTTTTTCAAAGTATTCAACTTCTTTGCCTTTGGTTTGAATGTCCTCCCGTAGCTCGGAGTAATTTGATCGTCTGAAGCCGTCTTCTCTCAGCTCGTCAAAGTCATTCTCCGTCCAGCTTTGTTCCATTGCTGGTGAGGAGCTGCATTCCTTTGGAGGAGGAGAGGCGCTCTGTGTTTTAGAGTTTCCAGTTTTTCTGTTCTGTTTTTTCCCCATCTTTGTGGTTTTATCTACTTTTGGTCTTTGATGATGGTGATGTCCTTTTGGTGTGGATGTCCTTTCTGTTTGTTAGTTTTCCTTCTAACAGACAGGACCCTCAGCTGCAGGTCTGTTGGAGTACCCTGCCGTGTGAGGTGTCAGTGTGCCCCTGCTGGGGGTGCCTCCCAGTTAGGCTGCTCGAGGGTGAGGGGTCAGGGACCCACTTGAGGAGGCAGTCTGCCCGTTCTCAGTTCTCCAGCTGCGTACTGGGAGAACCACTGCTCTCTTCAAAGCTGTCAGACAGGGACATTTAAGTCTGCAGAGGTTACTGCTGTCTTTTTGTTTGTCTGTGCCCTGCCCCCAGATGTGGAGCCTACAGAGGCAGGCAGGCTTCCTTGAGCTGTGGTGGGCGCCACCCAGTTCGAGCTTCCCTGCTGCTTTGTTCACCTAAGCAAGCCTGGGCAATGGCGGGTGCCCCTCCCCCAGCCTGGCTGCCGCCTTGCAGTTTGATCTCAGACTGCTGTGCTAGCAATCAGCGAGACTCCGTGGGCGTAGGACCCTCCGAGCCAGGTGTGGGATATAATCTCATGGTGCGCCGTTTTTTAAGCCCGTCGGAAAAGCGCAGTATTCGGGTGGGAGTGACCCGATTTTCCAGGTGCTGTCTGTCACCCCTTTCTTTGACTAGGAAAGGGAACTCCCTGACCCCTTGCACTTCCTGAGTGAGGCAATGCCTCACCCTGCTTCGGCTCACGCACGGTGCGCGCACCCACCGACCTGTGCCCACTGTCTGGCACTCCCTAGTGAGATGAACCCGGTACCTCAGATGGAAATGCAGAAATCACCCGTCTTCTGCGTCGCTCACGCTGGGAGCTGTAGATCGGAGCTGTTCCTATTCGGCCATCTTTCCCCATCTGAAGTGTTTATTATACAGTCAGTATCTTACCTTGAATTGATTTATACACGTTTATTCAACTTTTATTTTGAGAATTAAAAAAAATGAAACACACAACCACCACTGTACCCATGGCCCAGAATTTATAGTTGTTAAAAATGCCAGCAGTTTTTCCTGTTTTTCTAAAGAAAAGAAATAACATACTGTGCCTAAATATGAAATATTTTGTCCATCTTCTCATGTCCTATTCACCTCTCTATTCCCAGCAGCAAAAACTATAGAGGCATAAATTTAGTGTGTCTCCTCACATTTATATTTATAGATTGTTATTCATGAATATGATTTCATGAAAAATATATGATATTTTGTGTGATTTTCGTAAAAACTCATACAAGTCATATCATATTGCATACACAGCATTTTGATACTAGCTGTTTACTCTCACCATTTTTGGTAAAGTTCTATTCTTATCAACATGGTCAGGGGTAGTTAGCCTTTTTTGTACCATAGGACCCTTTGGCAGCCCAGCGAACCCAGTGAATTCCTTCTCAGAGTATATTTTAAATTTTTTGTAATAAAATACATAGGATTCCAACGGAACTCAATTATATTAAAATATAAATACCAAAAAGGTAAAAACAAATTATAATATAGGAACATTTTTAAAATTAATGCATTAAACAGTAAGATATAGTGGTGAATCCACAGTACTGTAATTTGGAGAAAGTGATGAATGTAAACAATATTTCTAGATGTCTGCAACCTACAGATTTGAATCTTGACAGTCTCAGGTATGATTCAAGCCACTCTGGTTTGTTGACTGTATTTATAATAAAAGGAAATGCTAAAATTTCAGGTAGAGCCGGGATAATAATGATGTAATTTTATTTTGATTTAAGTTCATGGGTCTTCTGAGTTATTTATGTATTCTTTATAAATTAAATTAACTTTCATTTTATTTTACTTTAGGTTCTGGGATACATGTGCAGAATGTGCAGGTTTGTTACATAGGTATACGTGTGCCATGGTGGTTTGCTGCACCTGTTGACCCATCCTCTGTGTTCCCTCTTCACGTCCCCCAGCCTCCAACAGGCCCTGGTATATGTTATTCCCCTCACTGTGTCCATGTGTTCTCATTGTTCAACTCCCACTTATGAGTGAGACCATGTGGTGTTTGGTTTTCTGTTCCTGTGTTAGTTTGCTGAGAATGATGGCTTCTAGCTTCATCCATGTCCCTGAAAAGGACATGTTCTCATTCCTTTTTATGGCTGCATAGTATTCCACAGTGTATATGTACCACATTTTGTTTAACCAGTCTATTGTTGATGGGCATTTGGGTTGGTTCCATGACTTTGTTATTGTAAGTAGTGCTGCAATAAACATACGTGTGCATGTGGCTTTATAGCAGAATGATTTATAATCCTTTGAGTATATACCCAGCAGTGACATTGCTGGGTCAAGTGGTATTTTTGATTCTAGTTCCTTGAGGAATTGCCATACTATCTTCCACAATGGTTGAACTAATTTACATTCCCACCAACAGTGTAAAAGCATTCCTATTTCTCCACAGCCTGGCCAGCATCTAAATCTTGACTTTTTAATAATCGCCATTCTGACTGACATGAGATGGTATCTCATTGTGGTTTTGATGTGCATTTCTGTAATGATCAGTGATGTTGAGCTTTTTTTCATATGTTTGTTGGCTGTGTAAATGTCTTATTTTGAGAAGTATCTTTTTATATCCTTTGCCTACTTTTTGATGTTTTTTTTTTTCTTGTAAATTTGTTTAGGTTCCTTATAAATTTAGGATATTAGACCTTTGTCAGATGGGTAGATTGCAAAAATTTTCTCCCATTCTGTAGGTTGCCTGCTCACTCTGATGATAGTTTCTTTTGCTGTTCAGAAGCTGTTTAGTTTAATTATATCCCATTTGTCAATTTTGGCTTTTGTTGCAATTGCTTTTGGCATTTTTATCATGAAGTCTTTGCCCATACCTACATCCTGAATGGTATTGACTATGTGTTCTTCTAGGGTTTTCATGGTTTTGCGTTTTACATTTAAGTCTTTAATCCATATTGAGTTAATTTTTGTATAATGTGAAGGAAAGGGTCTAGTTTCAGTTTTCTGCATATGGCTAGCCAGTTTTCCCAGCACCATTTATTGAGTAGGAGATCCTTTCCCCACTGCTTGTTTTTGTCAGGTTTGTTGAAGAACAGATGGTTGTAGGTGTGTGGTGCTAATTCTGAGGTCTCTGTTCTGTTCCATTGGTCTATATGTCTGTTTTGGTACCAGTATCATGCTGTTTTGCTTACTGTAGCCTTGTAGTATAGTTTGAAATCAGGTAGCATGACACCTCCAGCTTTGTTCTTTTTGCTAAGAATTGTCTTGGCTATATGGGATCTTCTTTGATTCCATATGAAATTTAAAGTAGCTTTTCCTCGTTCTGCAAAGAATGTCAGTGGTAGTTTGATGGAAATAGCATCGAATCTATAAATTGATGCAAACATCTTTAATAATATACTGGCAAACCAAATTCAGCAGCACATCCAAAATCTTATCAGCCACGCTCAAGTTGGATGCTTCCCCGTGATGCAAGGTTGGTTCAACATACACAAATCAACATATGTAATTCACAACATAAACAGAACTAAAGACAAAAACCATATAATTATCTCAATAGATGCAGAAAAGGCCTTTGATAAAATTCAATATCCCTTTATGTTAAAAATTCTCAATAAAATAGGTATTGATGGAACATATCATCTCAAAATAGTAAGAGCTATTTATGACAAAGCCACAGCCAATATCATATTGAATGGGCAAAAGCTGGAAGCATTCCCTTTGAAAACTGGTACAAGATGAGGATGACCTCTCTCACCACTCCTGTTCAAGATAGTGTTGGAAGTTCTGGCCAGGGCAATTAGGAAAGAGAAAGAAATAAATGATATTCAAAGAGGAAGAGAGGAAGTCAAGTTGTCTCTGTTTGCAGATGACATGATTTTATATTTAGAAAACCCCAACGTCTCAGCCCAAAAACTCCTTAAGCTGATAAGCAACTTTGGCAAGGTCTTAGGATACAAAATCAATGTGCAAAAATCACAAGCATTTCTTTACACCAACAATAGACAAGCAGAGAGCCAAATCATGAATGAACTCCCATTCACAACTGCTACAAAGAGAATAAAATACATGGGAATATAGCTAATAAGGAATGTGAAGGATCTCTTCAAAGAGAACTACAAACCACTGCTCAAGGAAATAAGAGAGGACACAAACAAATGGAAAAACATTCCATGTTCGTGGATAGGAAGAATTAGTATCATGAAAATGGCCATACTGCCCAAAGTAATTTATATTCTTGATTCTAAATATTTATTGGCTGGATGCAGTGGCTCACGCCTGTAACCTTGAAAGGCTGAGAGAAGAGGATTGCTTGAGCCCAGGGATTTGAGAGCAGCCTAGACAGAATACAAAGACCCCATCTCTACTAAAAATAAAAAAAATTAGCTGGGTGTGGTGGTGCATACCTATAGTCCTGCCTACTTTGGTGGGCTGAGATAGGAGGATCACTTGAGCCTTGGAGGTTGAGGCTGCAGTGAGCCATGATTATGCCACTGCACTCCAGCCTGGGTGAGAGTGAGACCCTGTCTCAAATAAATATCTTTCTTATCCTAATTTTTTGCCTATGTTTTTTTTCCCAGTATGTTATTTGATTTTGTAAGCTATGGTTATGGAATTTTTGGATTCAGACAAATTTAAAGTTTGTGATTTAGTACAATGTATACTTTTTTACTTTTAAGGGCTTTGCCTTTTGTGTCTTATTTAAAGAACACTTTCTTATATTTGATTCATAAAATTAAAATGGTATTTTTTACTCTTAGTTTTTTAGTATATATGCAACTTTTTAAAAAACATGGATTTTTGAAGGAAAGGACTTATTTTTTTTCTGCAGTATCTTATTTAATCTTTATGATAAAGCCAACATTTTGGTGTTATTATTGTTATTATTATCCTTTTCAAGAAACAGACTAACTCCAATCTTCCCTATGACATCAGTACTGAGCACTCCCTTTAGCGGATATCTTAATCTTTCTGAATATCTCTTCCTATTTGTATTCATCGTCATATTTTTTCATTTAATTTTTCTTATTTTTTGTGAGTTCATTTGTTGCTTCCAAAGATTGTATGCATTGAGGAATCATGTGCTTAAATTTTCAGTAATGGCTAACAGAGTGTTGGGCACACAAAAACTCTCAGTGAATATTTGCCAAATGATTGAAATTAATATAATGTGTTTTACCTTAAAACATTTTCCAAATTTACCATATATTAATAAAAACCATCTAGTTTATATCAGAGTTAATTCTTTGAAATAGAGGAAGTTTTTTTTTCTTTTTTTAATTGTTTTTTCAGCATATAGAACATTCTCACTTTCTGTATTCCTTATTCCAATATAAGATATACCTCCAAAATAATGACAATGATTTTCATAATCTACGCACAGAAATCAAGTCTTCCTCAGTGTACAAGAAAGACAAAACTTCCCTTCTATAGAAAAAGGGAAGGGGAAACCTCGCGACCTTCAAAGTCTAGCCTGTTACCTGCCACTCGGTCTCCAGGTGGTCCTAAGGTAGTCAGGACATGTGCTGAATATCTGGCTGTGAGGACCCAACAGAACAAGGGCAATCCTGTCTGGCCCTCCTCCTCTTCAACTCAATTAGGATTTCTTCTACTATTCTGAGCTTTTACTATCATAGCTAAAATTCTGTGACTATATGAAAGTCAAGGAAACTACTTTTACCCAGAAACAATTTAACAGCTACAACAATTGTTCTCTTCAGCATCTAGAAATCATGTTATTAACCTAAATTTATTAGCTAGGAATATTGTCACTATGAAAGGAAGCACTCTGAGTTTCTATTTTCCTTAATCAGAAAGTTATGCTTTTTCTTTTCTAAACCTATTTTTTCAAATATTTTACTTTAAAATAATTTCACTTTTTTGGTAATGATTTCAATTTTTTTTATTTTGAAAGAATTTTAGACTTAGAGAAAATTTGTAAAAAATAGTACAGAGAGTTCCTGCATAAAACCTCATAACCTTTACCTAGTTTATGTAATATTTTATATAACTATAGCATGATGATCAAAAATACGAAATAAACATTGCAACAATATTATCAATTAACTAAACTTTCTATACATATTTTGCCAGTGTTTCCCCTATGTCCCCTTTCTCTTACAGGATGTAATACAGGATCCTATATTGAATTTATTTGTGGTGTCTTAGAATTCCCCAATCTGTGACAGTTCTGTCCTTTTTCTTTCATGACCTTGGCATTTTGGAGAGTATTATTTACTTATTTTGTAGACTATCACGTTTGGGGGGTTTGCCTAATATTTTCTCATGAGTAGATTTAAGTTGCATTTTTAGCAAGAATACCACAATGGCGATGTGCCTTTCTCAATGTATCATATCAAGGGGGTAATTGATGTTCATGTGTCTTTTTACTGGTGATGTTAACTTTAACCACTTGGTTAAGGTGATGGCCTACTGGATTGCTTTACTCTTATTATTTTTTTCATTTGAAATTGATACATCTTGGGAAAGATACCCTGAGACTCTGCAAATACCTTGTTTCTTCTTAAATTTTCACCCATGAATTTCAGCATTCATTGGTGGATCTTTCCAGCAACAGTTAGTATTATGGTGTTCTAATGGTGATATTCTATTTTCCATGCATGTATTAATTATATATTTATATGGGTTTTAATTTTTTTCTATGGATTATATTCCAATACTGTTGTTATTTATTTTTTGCCCCAAATTGTTCCAGTTCTGGACATTGAGAGCTCTTTCAGGTCAGTTTCTGTGCCTTTTTGTTGTGCTCACATCCTTTATGGAGCACTTCCTCATTTACTGCCACCATATGACGCTCCAGATTCCTCTTGTATTGTTCCTGCCACAGTCCTTGAGTCAACCATTTCTACACAATCCCTATTTCCTTTTGTTCATCAATGACATTTAGCCACTGACATTTAAGTAGGCTTTCAAAGGTTAAAATGTGTACCGTAGCTTTCTGCCTTGCTCTAGAAAAAGGGTCAGCAAACTATAAATCACCATATTGCAAACAGGCTTTGCAGACTGTACAGTCTCTGTTGCCTCTACCCCACTCTAATGTTGTGGCACAAAAACAGCCACAGACCAGTAGATGAATAGGTGGGGTATGGTTCCAACAGAACTTTATTTACAAAAAGTAGATGGTAGTTTGGATTTGGTTCACGGGGCTGTAGTTTGCCACCCCTTGCTATAGAATGACAAGCCATGTGTTGATTTTCACATATGTTTTAAATGATATTTTACAAACAAAATGGAGGTCGAGGCTGTAGTAAGTCATGATCACACACCACTGCACTCCAGCCTAAGTGACAGAGAGAGACCCTATCTCTCTAAAAATTAAATAAATAAAAAATGAAGACAAAATTTAATCTGTTTTATTTTTCTCTATTGAGAAAGGGACTGGATTATGTTGATATAAATGGAATTAGCTTAAGGTTTCTTTGTGTTTTCTTTTTTAATACAAAACAATTTTGAATTACATTACTGTGTTCAAAATAGGGAAACAATGACAATTACTATTTCCCAATTGCTTTAAAGCATTGGACATGTAGATGGTAAAGCATTCACTTATTTTCAGATGAACCAGTAAGTAAACAGGTAAAGCAATTTATAGATTATTAAAGTTAACTAAATAAATGGTGTTGAGGAAGTAGGAAAGACAACAGGTTGGAGCATCTGAAAAGTTTCATTGAGGAAGTGAAGATTGAGATTGGCACAAAAGCATGGGCAGAACTTGAATCCCCTAAAGAAGGAGAAATAAAATTGATGATTTAGGAACAATTTAAAAAATAAAGGGATTCAAAAATAGCCTGGGAATATTCAGGAAAATGAGTGGCAAAGAATAGCATTAGCAATTCGAAAAGGAAGGTAGGAGCTAAACCCAATTCTACTAGCATTTCTGCTAATCACACAGTAGTTTGGTTTTAGGATGTGGCTGGCTTTTATGTAATCTTGTATTACCAAAAGCAATTGACACAATGTTTTGTATGTTTCAATGTTCCTATAGTATTAAAAAAATCTTTAAATGAATTAAAGATTAAAATATTATTTATTTGTGTTCATATGTTAAGAATTTTTTTGCCATTATTTGCAAGCTTTTTAGTGTTAATTGTATAATTCATAGGCCTTGTCAAGAAGAAAATTTTGTAAGACACAAGAAGACTTACTTTTGCACTTAGTTTCTATGATGGATTTTCTTTGGCTCTCTAGTAAGTGCACAATGAATCATATAACTCATTCTTAAAAGTCTGAATCTCAACCCACTTTCATGTGGAGTCAAGTAGCTCCCTGCCTTATTTGAATGCATCCTTAAGCTCATAGACAGGTCATTTTATTGCCTTTTGCCCCAGCAGTATCTGTGCTAATTCCTGAGCAAGATGATGATTCACATGGACAAAGAAACTGCCAGAGAGTTTATGTGAGAATGCCTCTGGTTCTGCTATTTTATGTCCCTTTTCTAAGAATTAATTGATCAGTAATAACTGCTAATGAAATACAATTCTGTGAGGTGAGATGATTTTGTAAGTGAAATCAAACGCTTCATTGAAAATATACTGTTGAAATTTTTCTTATTCAATGGCCTTAAAATGTTCTCATTTAGATGCCACTAAATTCATCATTATTTCTGCTGCTAAGTCAATTAATAAAAATGAAATCAAGCTACACCTTGAGCTTCTTGTATAAGAGCTGGTCTTACTGACTTGAATAGAGATTTGATTCCTATATTTCTGACAATTAACATTGCTTTGGCAGAAAATAACGTACCATAATAATCAAACATTCCAAAACCAAGCCTTTTTTGATATGGAATTTAGTGGGTGTGAAGACTTTTTGCATGAACTGACATATGTCAAAAAGAGCCAGTGAGCTCCTCAATATGCAGTCTACTCACACTTATATATCTGTGATAGGGAAACTTCTTAAGGATCGGGCTTGATGGCTTCTCTCTTAGTCTCTGCTGCCTGCTTTAATATACCTTGCATCACATTCTATGCTGAGCATTGCAGCTCCTTCAGGAAGCAGTTTCAGTCTTCCCAAGCCACAAACACAGACAACATCCCTTTCTTCTAACTCTGTTTGACACTCTTAAATGAGGCAAACTGTTTGTTTGTTTGTTTCTTTGTTTGTTTTAATGTTCTCAGATCCCAAAGACATGTCCTATAGACCATCTCAAGAATAACTCTTCATCATTCCTGGCATTTGGCTGGCACATTCCATTCTCCTGCTTAGCTCAGATGGTCTTAAAATGGCCATTTATTATTTTTATTTTTATTTTTACTCAACCATCTGTCAAAGCCCTATTTTGCTTCAAGACTTAGGTTAAATTCTAGACTCTCTTTGAGTTCTTTATGGACTCCAGCTTCACTTCCAGTTCTGAGTGGCCTCTGTTTCTTATGGTTTCCTGCACCTCTCAAGGGGCTCCTTACAAATGCTGTTTGTCATTGTGATTACCCTTTATGCACATTCCCATCTCCCCCAGAAGATTGTAAGCCTCCCCCGCCCTTAGAAAGGAAACATGTACTGTACCTCACCATACAGTAGTGGAGCATAATGGTATGTCCAGCCAAAGCAGATCTTCAGTAAATGTCTGTGACAAGGAACAATGGCATTTGTTAATCCCTAGCTTCATCAAAGAGAAATAGCAAGGAAGCTACTGTACTCTACCAAGTTACCTAAAATAATTTTAGTATTCGCAGAGAGGCAAATCTGTTGGAAACAATATCACTTCAGAGTTTCAAGTATTCATGTGAGGATCTGTAAAAGAACAGATTATAACAAATTGGTTCTCAATTTTTAGAAGCAATAAATAATTTTGTAATGTAGAGAGACTGTCTTACTCCAGTGTAGAATGTCTGCTCAGAGAGTAACCATGAATCTAGACGAAGTAAACATTTGATTTTAAGCTTACTGGAAAGCCACAGGAACTGAAGTTCTATTATTCCCTGAATGTTCAGGGACGCTAACAGATTTCTGCATAAGAAATATTATTTTATGAGTCCTGTAAAGATTTACCAAGTCTAATAGCATTAGTGTTAAGCATTTGAGACCTACAATGGCTCATTTCTATACCCTTAAAAAGTGATGTACTGCCATGTACAGTGTAGACAGACACACATATCACCAGGAATGCAGTCCCAAGTTTTATCTTTAAAACTAATGTGTTATATGACTAAAAAAACTGTGGCTTATATTATCATCTCTAAAAGGTGAAATATTTTCTTTTTGACTCTTTTTCCAGATGTTCAGCTATTAGCATAATCTGGGAAAACAACCTATTGGGATCAGTTCAGCTCCTGTAAGACTGATAATCTAGGTCTAAATCTGTAAATGCACCAACAAACCAGGGTGGTTTCTGTATGAACATCATACACATGTGAGCCTGCAGTTTACTTTGTAAAATGTTGAAAGCATATTATATAAACTGTCACAAATAATTTAGACAAATTATCATAAAGCCAAAAGGACATTTCTGTCAACATTTTTGAAGTTTTCTTATGATGCGCAGATTTTTCTAAGACAGCACCCAGATAACTCCCAAATAACAAAGGTCTTGGGTTTTATTCTTAAGATCTTCATTTGTTTGTGTTTGTTATGAAAATTTGTGGACATCTGAGAAAAGAGAGTCTCATTTTGATTCTTCATTTCATACAATCAGAGTAGACAAGAAAATAAGATATTTATCTAAAACTAGTGAACTTCCTATTAAATACAATGTCAAGTCCCCAGGAATCATGTTCCTGATCTCCTCTGAAAGAATAACTTTGTATTTAAAAATATCCCACTACATATAGCTCCTTTCACCTTCTCCATACCTGTTAAATAAACTTGTCATTTTTATGGTCATTTCAGGAAAAGAGTTCCTCACTCCTCTCCTTGGAGACCTAGACATAACCAGTTTGTCTCTGGGGTCGACCCCCGTCTCCTCTGAAAGGCCAGCTGCATGATTTGATAGTCACAGCTGTCATTATCATCCAGCTTGGCACATGCCCCTAGGGTTTTCCTGTTGAGCAAGGGACTGAACCGTGCTGCCCATGCTTCCTCATACCAATTATAACTTCTGTGCAGTTATCTAAAAGGGAGAAAAATTTATCAACATCCTTTCTAGCCTTGTAATGAGGAAGCAATTTTCCCTTATTATAACTGACTAAATATGTGCCGGCTGACCCTCAAGGCCCCTCATCACCCTCCTCCTGTCCCTCTGGAAATCATGCCCAAGACTCACAATTCATTTCAGATTTCCTTGACTCCCTTATGTGTTTCATTTATTTCTATTAATCTCACACTTGTTCCATCTTCATCTTGCCTGTGCTGAATGCCTTTTCTCACTCTATGCCCCCATTACATCACTTTCTGATGGACTGCTCATTAAGGCCTGACTCCTGTTTCTCATTTTTTGATTTTCTGTCACTGGGCTTTCTCACCAAAACTGTACTTCTTGGGCACAAGAAGAGGAGGATCCTTGTGCCATGCAAATTGTGTAGTAGGTTCCACTCACTTTTTCTTTTGTCAATTTTAAGATGCTTATGTGTCTTAGACTCTCTTTTTGTTCAAAGAATTTTTAGATTGTGTGTGTCTGTTTTAGCCAGAAACAGTGACATCTGTTGGCTGCAAGCAATGGAAGCATGAGTTACACTGATGAGAAAATAGGAAAGACAATGAATATATCATCATTTTTGTGCCTTTTTACTTCTAGGGAGAGTAGAGGTATTTCAAAGCCATTGCACGAAAAAGCCAGCTCCCCTATATTGAAGAAAAAGGAAATTATCTCTGAAGATTTGATAATAAACTAAGAAAGACATTACAGCAAAACAATTTTGGACACTTAGGTTAATACCTTATCTTTCCAACATGTAACCCTTTGAAACAGCCCAATTCAATAAAAAGGTTCTAGGATGAGAGGATATTTCACTCTGATGAATGCTTATGTACTCAGTACTTTGGTTTAGGCATAGTGAAGTGACTAAGCTAATACCTATTCTTCCTTTTCTTCCTTCAGAATACAACATCTAGTTTTTAGCTGGGCATATGATAAGCTGAATAAAGACCACATTTCTCAGGCTCCTCTTACCAACATGGCACATGTATACATATGTAACAAACCTACACGTTGTGCACATGTACTCTAAAACTTAAAGTATAGTAATAATAAAAAAAAGAAAAAAACCAATAAATAAATAAATAAATAAAGCAGAAATGTTTTGTGTGGGCTTCAAAGACATGTTAAGACTTGTTACATGCCCATTGCCCCTTCTTCATCCTATTCTCCATTTGATTCCTGGATCATGAAGCAGATGTCAAACTCTCTAACAGTCATGTTGAATTGTAAGGGCAAGGATCGTATCTTAGGAATGAAGAAATAGTGAGTTTGAAAAAGCCTGGGTCTGAAAACTTCATTCCATAGAACCATAATACCAGGCATAAAATTATTTTGCATGTGACAGCATGAGAAATAAACTATATTGTTTGTCATGATTGCTTTTGTTTTTCCCTGTGAGACACAGCCACATGTGATTCTGATTCAGAGAACTTTGTGGTGGCTTCAATAGATGGGACAGAATATTGAGAGATTGTGACTCTACTCTTTGCTCATAAAAGACTGGGAATCAGAAATTATATAACTGAGTTTAGGCTGTGGTCACATACAAATCAGATTTCTATAATTGCCTTATCTATCCCTGAAGACATTTACTAGTTCTCTAAGAAGCCAGCACTTTTATTTAAAGGTAATTTGTCCTAAAGGGAGAATTTGACAGGAAGACAAAGGTTTATATGCATTTATTTCAATGGTGTCATTATATGTGATATAATACATTATATGTAAAAAGAACAATTTTAAATAGTTTAATTATCTGTTAGTACAATTTGTTAAATAATAATTACACGTCTACACTTTTGGTATATTTTTGGCCATTAAAGATGATATATTATGCATTCATTAAAGATATTAAAATGAAAGTGTGTTCAGGACATATTATTGAGTGAAAAAAATCTCATATAGATTTCTGGTTATGATAGCATTACAAATTATTTGGGGAATCCTCTCTGCTCTACATATATGACAAATATAGATAAGATGTAGAATGAGGAGATCCAAATGGCTAGGTTCCTAAGATGGAAAGGATACATCTTGATAAAAAAGGGAAAAGAATGGAATTGCTAGATCATATGGTTGTTCTATTTTTAATTTTTTAAGGAACCTCCATACTGTTTTACATAATGGCTGTACTAATTTACATTCCCACCATCTTTTCCTTTCTCCATATCCTTGCCAGAATTTATTTTTTTTTTTTTGTCTCTGATAATAACTCCTTCTAACTGGGGTAAAGTGATATCTCATTGTGGTTTTGATTTGCATTTCCCTGATGATAAGTAATGTTGAGTTTTTTTTCATATATCTGTTGGCCATTTGTATGCATGTTTTCTTTCGATAAATGTCTATTCAGGTTTTTTGCCCATTTTTAATTCAGATTATTTTTTTTTCTGCTATTGAATTGTATGAGTTCCTTATAAATTCTGGACACTAACCCCTTGTCAGATGCCTAGTTTGCAAATATATTCTTCCATTCTATAGGTTGACTCCTTACTCCATTGATTGTTTCATTTGCTGAGGGGAACCTTTTTAGTTTGATACTACTTAGACATAAAACAATGAAATCTTATTGTTTACAGCAACATGGATGATTGGGAGATCATTATGTTAAGTGAAATGAGCCAGACACAGAAAGACAAACACCACATAATCTCACTCATGTGGAATTTTAAAAGGGTGATATTATATGAGTAGAGAATAGAACAGCAGTTACTAGAAGTTGGGGAGGATGGGGGATGAGAAATGGGAAAAGGTTGGTCAATGGTCAAAATTGCAGTTCCAGTAAGTTCTGGGTGTTTTAGTACATAGCAGGGTGACTACAGCTAATGATAATGTATTCTATCTTTTAAGATGGCTAGAAGAGAGGATTTTGAATGGTATCACCACAAAGAAATGATACATATTTTAAGTGATAGATATGGTAATTACCCTGATTTAATCATTATATAATGTATACATACAGTGAAACAACACACTGTGCTCTATAAATATGTACAACTATTATGCATCAATTATTTTTAAAATTTAGAAATTAAAAAAACAGAAAAGAACATTAAATAAATGGATAGATATGTTCATGAAAGATAAAAATCAAAATTACAAAGATATCAATTATAGTCAATTTATCCTAATAGCAGTTTTATTCAAAATCTTAGCAAGAATTTTGAGAGCACCCAAAAGCTTATCTTAAAACTTTTATGAAAACAAATATCTAAGAATATTAAAATAAAAATTTTAAGAACAAGGGTACAATAAATATCATTCTTATGTGTTACAAATTTAAATATAAACAGAAATAAGATTGTCTATTAGGGTTAATGGCTCAAAAATATGAAAAATTATAAATATAAAAGATTGCTAGGGTTAGCAACATTAAAATAAATACAAAAAAAGAAAAATTCTACATAAGAAAAACATCATTCATTTAATTCACAAACTAAGTTTTGGTGAAGAGATGTGTAATGAATTAAAATGAAAAAGATTATATTCCAGGGTATAAAAGGAGTTTATATTCCAGAGTTTAAAATGTGCACACACACACACACACACACACACACACACACACACACATTCAGGAGCCCACAGATTTGAGAGTGGCACCAGTCATGCAGTATTAACTCAAGTAGGAAAAATAAGAAGAGTTTTTGGTTTTGAGAAACAGATGCTACATTAATTTTTAAAATATATTTGCTTACTCAACAGATATTTTTTGAGTCTCAACATGCAAACAACCATGCTAGGTACTATGGGGTATAAAGAGGTAAAGAAAACCTGGTAAAAAATATAGACACTGAGACAAATATATCTGGTTTCAAGTTCAGATACACCTTTTGCTGTGTGATTTTAAGTAAGTTCTTAGCCTCTCTTTCTATTAGAATTTTCCCATTTGTTAAAGAATAGTAATATTATTTATTTCATGTATTTTCTGTGATATTAATGAGTTTACATTTAATACATATATGTGTGTATGTGCGCGAGAATCTTTTCCTTCTCCCTCTCCCACACACATCTGTACCTGTGTGTGTATGCCTGATAAATCGTTTGTATTCAGTAAATGAGTTTCAATTTTCTCTCACCTAGTAATGTTGTAGCTGTCATAATGTTTTAGTGTAATGCATTACTCATGTGTATATATTTCAGACTGTATGTATTACTCTAAAAGATGTAGAGAAAAAGGCAGATTGGCTATGGACTTTCATATCTGATGATAACATGATGGTACATTTTAAGGTATTCTTTTTTCCTCATATATTCCAGACTTGAAATTGAAGAAGTAGCAACCTAGAAATACCAACAATGACCAAAATAAAATTCCAATAAAGACCTGCTTTTGGTAGCCAAAAGACCAGGAGAGGGGCAGACTAGCAAGACAGAAACTTTCAGACAATTACTGCTCTACATCCAAACACCACAAAAAAGACTATAGTTCTATTCTACCCATGCTAGCAAAGAATGAGTGGGAAGACATTTCCACTTCTATGGGGTTGTAATGAGGCACTTCAACATCCCTGACACAGAGATTCTAGAAAAGGCCAGTAGGAAGCTGGGACCTTCATCTCCACCAGTAAGTAATAAAGTCCTACTCCCTTTGGTGTCAGTGGAAAAAATGTGGGAAGCTTGGATTTTCACTCTCACCTGGCAGTCATGAGGTGCTTCTCTCCATCTGTCCGGGGAGCTATCCAAAAAGGCCGAGCGGAGAAGAGGAACTTTTGCCATTCCGCAGTGGTAATGAGGCCACCACCACTGTAGTGTTGGTAGAGATCATATGGGTAGCCAGAACTTCCACCCTGGTCCAGTGATAACAGAGACTATATGTGAGGTTTCAGTGGAGGTCAGACGCCAAGTAGAAAACCTGGACTTCTATCTCTACCTGGTTAGTAAGGCAGCATCACCTGCCTCCTCCGCTTACATCCCCCGACAACTTTCCTTGCCGTGGTGGTGTCAGAGAAAGCCAGCTAAAATAGAAGGTTAAAATAAGGTCTAGAGTTTTATAATATAAAAATGTCCAGTTTCAATAAAGTATCACTCAACATACCAGGAAAGAACCAGGAAAAACTCAAGAACAAAAACCTTCAAAACAATTAAAAAGATACAATGAATAGATGTCAAACTCAAGATGACAGAGATGTTAAAATTATTTGGAAAAAATTTAAAGCAGCCATAGTAAAATTATTCAGTGGACAATTACAAACACACATGAAATAAATGAAAAAATAAAAAATATCAAAGAGATATACTAGATAGACTTCCCCTAAAAGAATGGTGGAAAAAATTCTCCAAGCAGAAAAGAAACAATAAAAGAAGGAATATTGGAACATCAGGAAGAAAGTGCATGGCAAGTTAAAATATGGGAAATTATAGTAGGTTTTCTTTCTCACGAGTTTTCTAAATTCGATTTAATGGTTGAAGCAAAAAGTACAACACTATGCAATTCTAATTTTATGTAAGAAGAAAATAATATTTAATACAATTATAAATTATAAATGGCGAGGACAGAGGAATATGAAAGGAGGTAAACTTTCTAAACTTATAATGAAAATATTATAGTGATAACACAATTATGCTATATAAGATATGTGTATGTGTTATATACAGTCTTGCTTAATGATGGGGAAACATTTTGAGAAATGCATTGTTAGGCAATTTTCTCACTGTGTAAATATTATAGAGTGTACTTACACAAAACTAGATGGTATAGCCTGGTACCCACCTAGGATATATGGTATAATCTATTGTTGTTTCTATGCTACAAATCTGTACAGCTGGTTATTGTACTGAATGTTATAAGCAGTTGGAGCACAATAAGTATCTTTGTTATCTAAACATATCTAAAGAAAGAAAATGTACAGTAAAAAATGGTACAAAAGATATAAAATGATATGCCTGTATAGGGTTCTTAGCATGAATGGAGCTTGTGGGACTGAAAATTGCTTTGTGAGTAGGTGGTGAGTGAATGTAAACACCTAGGATATTACTATGGACTTTATAATAAACACTGTGTTCTTAGGGTACAATTGATTTAATTTTTTTTCTCTTTTAGTAATAAATTAACCACAGCTTACTGTAACATTTTTACTTTACAAAGTTTTTAAAATTTTTAAAACTTTTTGAGTCTTTTGTGCTAACAGCTTAAAACACAAATACATTGTATAGCTGTACAAAAATGTTTTCTTTCATATTTTTTTAATTTTAATTTTTATTTATTTATTTATTTATTTTTATTATTGTACTTTAAGTTTTAGGGTACATGTGCACAATGTGCAGGTTACTTACATATGTATACATGTGCCATGCTGGTGCGCTGCACCCACTAACTCGTCATCTAGCATTAGGTATATCTCCCAATGCTATCCCTCCCCCCTCCCCCCACCCCACAACAGGCCCCAGAGTGTGATGTTCCCCTTCCTGTGTCCATGTGTTCTCATTGTTCAATTCCCACCTATGAGTGAGAATATGCGGTGTTTGGTTTTTTGTTCTTGCGATAGTTTACTGAGAATGATGATTTCCAATTTCATCCATGTCCCTACAAAGGACATGAACTCATCATTTTTTATGGCTGCATAGTATTCCATGGTGTATATGTGCCACATTTTCTTAATCCAGTCTATCATTGTTGGACATTTGGATTGGTTCCAAGTCTTTGCTATTGTGAATAGTGCCGCAATAAACATACATGTGCATGTGTCTTTATAGCAGCATGATTTATAGTCCTTTGGGTATATACCCAGTAATGGGATGGCTGGGTCAAATGGTGTTTCTAGTTCTAGATCCCTGAGGAATCGCCACACTGACTTCCACAATGGTTGAACTAGTTTACAGTCCCACCAACAGTGTAAAAGTGTTCCCATTTCTCCACATCCTCTCCAGCACCTGTTGTTTCCTGACTTTTTAATGATTGCCATTCTAACTGGTGTGAGATGGTATCTCATTGTGGTTTTGATTTGCATTTCTCTGATGGCCAGTGATGGTGAGCATTTTTTCATGTGTTTTTTGGCTGCATAAATGTCTTCTTTTGAGAAGTGTCTGTTCATGTCCTTTGCCCACTTTTTGATGGAGTTGTTTGTTTTTTTCTTGTCAATTTGTTTGAATTCATTGTAGATTCTGGATATTAGCCCTTTGTCAGATGAGTAGGTTGCGAAAATTTTCTCCCATTTTGTAGGTTGCCTGTTCACTCTGATGGTAGTTTCTTTTGCTGTGCAGAAGCTCTTTAGTTTAATGAGATCCCATTTGTCAATTTTGGCTTTTGTTGCCATTGCTTTTGGTGTTTTAGACATGAAGTCCTTGCCCATGTCTATGTCCTGAATGGTAATGCCTAGGTTTTCTTCTAGGGTTTTTGTGGTTTTAGATCTAATGTTTAAGTCTTTAATCCATCTTGAATTGATGTTTGTATAAGGTGTAAGGAAGGGATCCAGTTTCAGCTTTCTACATATGGCTAGCCAGTTTTCCCAGCACCACTTATTAAATAGGGAATCCTTTCCCCATTGCTTGTTTTTCTCAGGTTTGTCAAAGATCAGATAGTTGTAGATATGTGGTGTTATTTCTGAGGGCTCTGTTCTGTTCCATTGATCTATATCTCTGTTTTGGTACCAGTACCATGCTGTTTTGGTTACTGTAGCCTTGTAGTACAGTTTGAAGTCAGGTAGTGTGATGCCTCCAGCTTTGTTCTTTTGGCTTTGGATTGACTTGGTGATGCGGGCTCTTTTTTGGTTCCATATGAACTTTAAAGTAGTTTTTTCCAATTCTGTGAAGAAAGGCATTGGTAGCTTGATGGGGATGGCATTGAATCTGTAAATTACCTTGGGCAGTATGGCCATTTTCACGATATTGATTCTTCCTACCCATGAGCACGGAATGTTCTTCCATTTGTTTGTATCCTCTTTTATTTCCTTGAGCAGTGGTTTGTAGTTCTCCTTGAAGAGGTCCTTCACATCCCTTGTAAGTTGGATTCCTAGGTATTTTATTCTCTTTGAAGCAATTGTGAATGGGAGTTCACTCATGATTTGGCTCTCTGTTTGTCTGTTGTTGGTGTATAAGAATGCTTGTGATTTTTGTACATTGATTTTGTATCCTGAGACTTTGCTGAAGTTGCTTATCAGCTTAAGGAGATTTTGGCCTGAGACAATGGGGTTTTCTAGATATACAATCATGTCGTCTGCAAACAGGGACAATTTGACTTCCTCTTTTCCTAATTGAATACCCTTTATTTCCTTCTCCTGCCTAATTGCCCTGGCCAGAACTTCCAACACTATGTTGAATAGGAGTGGTGAGAGAGGGCATCCCTGTCTTGTGCCAGTTTTCAAAGGGAATGCTTCCAGTTTTTGCCCATACAGTATGATATTAGCTGTGGGTTTGTCATAGATAGGTCTTATTATTTTGAGATACGTCCCATCAATGCCTAATTTATTGAGAGTTTTTAGCATGAAGCGTTGTTGAATTTTGTCAAAGGCCTTTTCTGCATCTATTGAGATAATCATGTGGTTTTTGTCTTTGGTTCTGTTTATATGCTGGATTACATTTATTGGTTTGTGTATATTGAACCAGCCTTGCATCCCAGGGATGAAGCCCACTTGATCATGGTGGATAAGCTTTTTGATGTGCTGCTGGATTCGGTTTGCCAGTATTTTACTGAGGATTTTTGCATCAATGTTCATCAGGGAAATTGGTCTAAAATTCTCTTTTTTGGTTGTGTCTCTGCCAGGCTTTGGTATCAGGATGATGCTGGCCTCATAAAATGAGTTAGGGAGGATTCCCTCTTTTTCTATTGATTGGAATAGCTTCAGAAGGAATGGTACCAGTTCCTCCTTGTACCTCTGGTAGAATACGGCTGTGAATCCATCTGGTCCTGGACTCTTTTTTGTTGGTAAGCTATTGATTATTGCCACAATTTCAGATCCTGTTATTGGTCTATTCAGAGATTCAAGTTCTTCGTGGTTTAGTCTTGGGAGAGTGTATGTGTCGAGGAATTTATCCATTTCTTCTAGATTTTCTAGTTTATTTGCGTAGAAGTGTTTGTAGTATTCTCTGATGGTAGTTTGTATTTCTGTGGGATCGGTGGTGATATCCCCTTTATCATTTTTTATTGCATCTATTTGATTCTTCTCTCTTTTTCTCTTTATTAGTCTTGCTAGCGGTTTATCAAATTTGTTGATCCTTTCAAAAAACCAGCTCCTGGATTCATTAATTTTTTGAAGGGTTTTTTGTGTCTCTATTTCCTTCAGTTCTGCTCCGATTTTAGTTAATTCTTGCCTTCTGCTAGCTTTTGAATGTGTTTGCTCTTGCTTTTCTAGTTCTTTTAATTGTGATGTTAGGGTGTCAATTTTGGATCTTTCCTGCTTTCTCTTGTGGGCATTTAGTGCTATAAATTTCCCTCTACACACTGCTTTGAATGCATCCCAGAGATTCTGGTATGTTGTGTCTTTGTTCTCGTTGGTTTCAAAGAACATCTTTATTTCTGCCTTCATTTCGTTATGTACCCAATAGTCATTCAGGAGCAGGTTGTTCAGTTTCCATGTAGTCGAGTGGTTTTGAGTGAGATTCTTAATCCTGAGTTCTAGTTTGATTGCACTGTGGTCTGAGAGATAGTTTGTTATAATTTCTGTTCTTTTACATTTGCTGAGGAGAGCTTTACTTCCAAGTATGTGGTCAATTTTGGAATAGGTGTGGTGTGGTGCTGAAAAAAATGTATATTCTGTTGATTTGGGGTGGAGAGTTCTGTAGATGTCTATTAGGTCTGCTTGGTGCAGAGCTGAGTTCAATTCCTGGGTATCCTTGTTGACTTTCTGTCTCGTTGATCCGTCTAATGTTGACAGTGGGGTGTTAAAGTCTCCCATTATTAATGTGTGGGAGTCTAAGTCTCTTTGTACGTCACTCAGGACTTGCTTTATGAATCTGGGTGCTCCTGTATTGGGTGCATATATATTTAGGATAGTTAGCTCTTCTTGTTGAATCGATCCCTTTACCATTATGTAATGGCCTTCTTTGTCTCTTTTGATCTTTGTTGGTTTAAAGTCTGTTTTATCAAAGACTAGGATTGCAACTCCTGTCTTTTTTTGTTTTCCATTTGCTTGGTAGGTCTTCCTCCATCCTTTTATTTTGAGCCTATGTATGTCTCTGCACGTGAGATGGGTTTCCTGAATACAGCACACTGATGGGTCTTGACTCTTTATCCAATTTGCCAATCTGTGTCTTTTAATTGGAGCATTTAGTCCATTTACATTTAAAGTTAATAGTGTTATGTGTGAATTTGATCCTGTCATGATGATGTTAGCTGGTTCTTTTGCTTGTTAGTTGATGCAGTTTCTTCCTAGTCTCGATGGTCTTTACATTTTGGCATGATTTTGCAGCAGCTGGTACCGGTTGTTCCTTTCCATGTTTAGTGCTTCCTTCAGGAGCTCTTTTAGGGCAGGCCTGGTGGTGACAAAATCTCTCAGCATTTGCTTGTCTGTAAAGTATTTTATTTCTCCTTCACTTATGAAGCTTAGTTTGGCTGGATATGAAATTCTGGGTTGAAAATTCTTTTCTTTAAGAATGTTGAATATTGGCCCCCACTCTCTTCTCCCTTGTAGAGTTTCTGCTGAGAGATCCGCTGTTAGTCTGATGGGCTTCCCTTTGAGGGTAACCCGACCTTTTTCTCTGGCTGCCCTTAACATTTTTTCCTTCATTTCAACTTTGGTGAATCTGACAATTATGTGTCTTGGAGTTGCTCTTCTCGAGGATTATCTTTGTGGCGTTCTCTGTATTTCCTGAATCTGAATGTTGGCCAGCCTTGCTAGATTGGGGAAGTTCTCCTGGATAATATCCTGCAGAGTGTTTTCCAACTTGGTTCCATTCTCCCCGTCGCTTTCAGTTACACCAATCAGACATAGATTTGGTCGTTTCACATAGTCCCATATTTCTTGGAGGCTTTGCTCGTTTCTTTTTATTCTTTTTTCTCTAAACTTCCCTTCTCACTTCATTTCATTCATTTCATCTTCCATCGCTGATACCTTTCTTCCAGTTGATCGAATCGGCTCCTGAGGCTTCTGCATTCTTCACGTAGTTCTCGAGCCTTGGTTTTTCAGCTCCATCAGCTCCTTTAAGCACTTCTCTGTATTGGTTATTCTAGTTATACATTCTTCTAAATTTTTTTCAAAGTTTTCAACTTCTTTGCCTTTGGTTTGAATGTCCTCCCGTAGCTCGGAGTAATTTGATCGTCTGAAGCCTTCTTCTCTCAGCTCGTCAAAGTCATTCTCCGTCCAGCTTTGTTCCGTTGCTGGTGAGGAACTGCGTTCCTTTGGAGGAGGAGAGGCACTCTGCTTTTTAGAGTTTCCAGTTTTTCTGCTCTGTTTTTTCCCCATCTTTGTGGTTTTATCTACTTTTGGTCTTTGATGATGGTGGTGTACAGATGGGTTTTTGGTGTGGATGTCCTTTCTGTTTGTTAGTTTTCCTTCTAACAGACAGGACCCTCAGCTGCAGGTCTGTTGGAGTACCCTGCCGTGTGAGGTGTCAGTGTGCTTCTGCTGGGGGGTGCCTCCCAGTTAGGCTGCTCGGGGGTGAGGGGTCAGGGACCCACTTGAGGAGGCAGTCTGCCTGTTCTCAGATCTTATTTAATAAGCTATTTTCTATTTAAGAAATTTGCATTTTTAATTGATTTACTTTTACAACTTTTTTGTTAAAAACTAAGACACAAAAATACACATTAGCGTAGGCCTACACAGAGTCAAGATCATCAACATCACTGTCTACCACCTCCACATCTTTTCCCACTAGAAGGTCTTTAGGGGTAATAGCATGCATGAAGCTGTCATTTCCTATGATAACAATGCCTTCTTCAAGAATGCCTGCTCAGGGACCTGCCTGAATTTGTTTTACAGCTTTTTTTTATAAGTAGAATGAGTACACTCTAAAATAACGATAAAAAGTACAGTATAGTAAATACTAGGCAATAGAAATTGTTTAGCTTCATTATAATTTTATGGGACTGTCTTCTTATACATCAGTGGCAAAAATATTATATGGTACATAACTGCATACACACACATGTGTATATACATACACATATATGTACACATAAATTCATGGGGAATATATACATATGTGTGTCTATATGTGTGTGTGTATATACATATAATGCAACAACTAGAACAACCACTAAAAATGCTATACAAAGAGATGCAATCAATAATAATATAGACAAATCGAAATGGAATTGTAACACCCATAGCTAACATAATAGTTAATGGTGAAAGACTAGAAATTGTCCCCTTAAAATCAGGAGCAAAACAAGGATGCTTACATTTGCCACTTTTATTCAGCATTGCCGTGGAAGTTCAAGCCAGAGCAATGAAGTATGAAAAAGAAATAAAAATCAACAAAATTAGAAAAAGGTAAAATTGTTTTTATTTTCAGATGACAATTTTTTGTTTTTTTGAGACAAGGTCTTGCTCTGTCACCCAGGCTGGGGTGCAGTTGTGTGATCAAGGCTCACCGCAGCCTTAACCTCCCCAGGCTCAAGTGATTTTTCACCTCAGCCTCCTGATTAGCAGGGACTACAGGTGCACACTACTATGTCCAGCTAATTTTTATATTTTTGTTGAGATGGGGTTTCACCATGTTGCCCAGGCTAGTCTTGAGCTCCTGGGCTCAAGTGATCTGCAAACCTCCACCTCCCAAAGTGCTGTGATTATAAGAATGAGCCATTGTGCCTGGCTAATGATGATTTTATACAGAAATAATTCTAAGGAATCTACACAAAAATCTATTGGGGCTATTAAACAAACTCAGCAAAATTTCAGGATAAAAATAAACACATAAAAATGAGCTGTATTTCCATACACTAGTAATAAATAATTTGCAAATCAAATTATGTGAACAATTCCATTCATAATAGCATAAAAAGAATAAAATACTTAGAAATGAACTTAATCAAAAAGTATGAGATTTGTACAATGAAAAGTATGAAACACTGCTGAAGAAATAAAACATCTACTTAATTGGAAAGACACGCAGTGTTCATGGGTAGAAATGCCTAGTATTGTAAAGATGCTAGTGCTTCCCTAAACAATCTATATATTCAAATGTGACCCCTATCAAAATTTTAATGGCCATTTTTGCCAAAATGAAAAAGCTAATCCAAAAAATTCATATGGAATTGCAAGGGACACTAGCCAAAATGATTTTGAAAAAGAAAAACAAAGTTGGAGGACTCTCACTTTTAAGTTTCAAAATGTATTACAAGGCAGCAGTAATAAAAACTGTGGTATTAGCATAATGGTAGACATATAGACCAATAAGAACATAACTGAGAATTCAGAACCCATATATCTATAGTCAACTGATTTTCAACAAAGGTGCCAACACTATTCAGAGGGAAAAGAATAGTGTCTTTAACAAACGGTGATGAGACAATTGGATACCTATATGTAAAAAGAATGACTTTTGACCCCTACCTTAATACCATATACAAGAATTCACTCAAAAGGAATAAGAAATCTAAATATAAAAATAGAAAGTATAAAACTCTTAGAAGAAAATATAAGAGTAAATCTTGATGATTATGGATTTGGCAATAGATTCTTAGATATGACACATAAAGACACCCAACAAGAGAAAAAGACAATACATTGGACTTTATCAACATTAAAAATTTTGGAATACTAGGCTTAATATCTGGGTGATGAAATAATCTGTACAACAACCCCCCATGACACATGTTTACCTGTGTAACAAACCTGCACATCCTGCACATGTACCCCTGAACTTAAAATTAAAAAAAAAAGAAAGACAAATGTCACATGTTCTCACTTATTTGTGAGATCTAAAAATTAATTTAACTCATGGACATAGAGAGTAGAAAGATGGTTACCACAAGCTGGGAAAAGTAGTGGGGATGGCGAGGAGGTGGGGATGGTTAATGAGTTCCAAAATAGTTAGAATGAATAAGACCTACTATTTGACAGCACAACAGGATGACTATAGTCAATAATAACTTAATTGTACATTTAAAAGTAACTAAAAGAGTATAATTGGACTGTTTGTAACACAGAGGATAAATGCTTGAGGGGATGGATACCCCACTCTACATGATATGATTATTACACATTGTATACCTGTATCAAAATATCTCATGTACAAATACTATGTCCCCACAAAAATTAAAAATAAAAATATTTTTTAAACTTGTGTAGCAAATCACATTTTCAAGAAAGTGAAAAGACAATCCAGAGAGTGGGAGAAATATTTTACAAATCACGTATCTCATAAGGGACTCCTATGCAGAAAATACAAAGAATATTTAAAACCCAATATTACAAAGACAAATAACCAGTTTTGAAAATGAGCAAAGGATCTGAATGGATATTCATCCAAAGTGGATATACAAACAGCCAATAGACACATGAAAATTGTGTCAACATAATTAGTACTTCACAGTCCCTAGGATGGCTATAATTCAAACAAAACAAAACAAAAATTAAAAAAAAACAGACAACATTGTTAAAGAAGACATGAGAAATTGAGTCTTTGAACATTGCTCAAAGATATGTAAAATGGTACAGCTTGAGTGAAAAACAGTTTAGCAATTCCTCAAAAAGTTAAACATAGAATTACCATATGCCACGGCAATTCCAGGCATAGGTATATACCCAAAGAAATTATAAACCAATGTTCAAACAAACATTTGTTTATAAGTCTTAATAGAAGAACTATTCACCACAGCCAAAAGGTAGAAACACCTGAAATGTCCATCAACTGGTAAATGAATAACCAAAATGTGGCATATTTATACAATAAAATATTATTCAGCCATTAAGAGGAATAAAGTGCTGGTACATCCTCTAACATGGATGAGCCTTAAAAACATGATGTGAAGTAAAAGAAGCCAGACAGAATAGGTCATATATTGTATGGTTGCATTTATCAGAAAGCTGATTATTGTTTGCTGTGGGGTAGTGGTAAGGGGAGAATGGGGAATGATTACTTAATGGAAATGAGATTTTTTTAGGATAATAATCATGTTTTGGAAGTAGATAAAACTTACAGTTGTAGAACACTGGAATGTGTATGGTATACGTTCCACCCCACCCTGCCCTAGCTAGCCACAGTGATCTTTCTCTTTCTTGAACATATCAAGCTAATTGCTGAGTAAAGGCCTTGCTATTCTCTCCTCTTGCAGCACTATTCCAGCTTTATCTGCATGGTCACATATGACTCCATGTTCAGTTCAAGTGCTATTTCTTCTGAGGGGATTCTTTAATCACCCCAGCCATGACAAGTACTCATATTATTGTATCTACCATCTTCACCACTTTGATCACAACTCAAACTTGCCTTGTTTGCTTAGGAATTTAATTGTAGTTTCCTGTCTCAGTCGATTAAAATGTAAATTTTATGAAAGCAAGGACCTTACTTGTCTTATTCACTCCTGTACCTTCACCAGTTAAGTAATAATTCCTGGCATATACTAGGCTTTCTGTTGATTAAATGAATGAATGACTTTCAAATAATATCTTGGCAAAAAATCATGGAGTGGATGAATTCAGGAATTTTGTACTCCCTAAGAAGCGCCCCAGTGTGTGGACTTGGTATGTTATTTCTTGTTTACAACCCAAGAGCACATTCTGACTTTACCCTTGAATGCGTGTCTCAAACTTCCCAAAACTATTCCCCCAACACTGTCTCTGAGGCGGTTTCAACTGTGCTTTATAAACTCTTCCTCTGCCCTATTAATCTCATTGCAATTTTTAACCACACTATCAGGTTGCCCTGCACAGAACCGGAGCAGTTTAATCTTTGTGGGAAATTTATTCCATTTGGTTAAATTCTAGATTGAATGTTAGCTTATTTGAACACTTCATGTCTTCTTCTTCTTTATCTTATGTCTGTTAGCCAGCCATGCAAAACCTTTCTTCATATCTTGCTTATTAGAGCAATTTTAGTGTTGAATTTACAGTCATTCAATTATGATTACCTCCTTTTTCTGAAAAACATTTTTTCTAAATATAATTGTATTTTAGAAATCTAGTATAAATGCATGTATAGGTTTCTCTTTGTATTATGTTTTCTACAAATTCCTCTGTTGCTTTAGCAGATCCTATCACTTTAGAAGTAAATAGATACTTTCTTAACATGATTTAAATAACAAAAAACAAGATTTATAAAGTGATAATTGTAAATTTTTAAGAATTTTTTTGTGGGAAGAAATAAATAATGAAAAAATTAATGCCCTTGGAAATATTACTGCAAAAATATGGAACAGGGCTAATTTCATAATGTATAGAGAGCATTCAGAAAAATAAACAATAAAAGAACCAACAAACAGGCCGGGCGCAGTGGCTCACGCCTGTAATCCCAGCACTTTGGGAGGCAGAGGCGGGCAAATCACAAGGTCAGGAGTTCGAGACCACGGTGAAACCCCGTCTCTACTAAAAATACAAAAAAAAAAAAAAAATTAGCTGGGTGCGGTGGCAGATGCCTGTAGCCCCAGCTACTCGGGAGGCTGAGGCAGGAGAATGGTGTGAACCCAGAAGGCGGAGCTTGCAGTGAGCCGAGATCGTGCCACTGCACTCCAGCCTGGGTGACAGAGCGAGACCCCATCTCAAAAAAAAAAAAAAAAAAAAGAACCAACAAACAAAAGGAGGCGCAACTTTTTAAAAGAGGAATACAACAGAAAACACATTTTAATTTTTAAAAAAAAATTTAAAAAAAGCAAAATAAATTAATTATAAACATGGAAATATGTCAGTATCACTCATAATTTAAAACATGCTTATAAGACATAATGAAATAGATGTTTAATTCTATAAGTAAGATTGGAAAAACTGAAACAGAAATATACAACATTGATGCAGTCTAAGAAAATGCAGAATTTCATACACTGTTGGTTAGAAAAGAGAATGACACACTTCCTTGTAAGACAGTTTAATGTTATCTATCAAATTTATTATGTCTATAGCCCTTCACTTTACAATTCTGTTTTCAGAAGTTTATCCTGAATGAAGTGTATAAAATGTATGAAAAGAAGTATTTATAGGAATAATCATTACAGCATTAATTTCAGTATTTATAAAATTGTTTTTCAGTAGTGGGCTAGAATTGGTTAAACCCATTATGCAACTAGGTCTGCCTTTAACACTTGAAGAACCTGGAATAAAGGTGATGGAGGTTATATAGGAAAGATGAGATACACATTTTACATATTCTCTTATTTGCCAGTTTTAAAAAATGCTTTGTTTTGGCAGAAGAGATTGGGAAGATGTTAGCTAAAAGATACAAAATTTCAGTTAAGATGAATAAGTTCAACAGATCTATTGTAAAACATGGTGACTGTAATTAATAACAATATATTGTTGAGAAAAAGTTTTAAAGTTCTCACTAAAAAAATGCTAAGTATATAAAGTAATGTATATGTTAAATAGCTTGATTTAGCCATTCCATAATACACACATATTTCAAAACAGCATGTTGTACTTGATAAATATATACAATTTTATGTATTAATTAAAATAATAAATATTAAAAATAAATTCAAAGAAATGATTTGTTTCTTTAGAATCTTCTAAAGATGATGACTATTTTTCCAAATGAATGGCTGATATTTTAATATATTTGATACGTTTCAAAATATTGCAGTTAGTATGTTTATTCATGCTTACATTATTTGATTTTTATCCAGTAAAAAGCTCTTTAAGCTTTCTCCTGGATCCTATTGACATGCCACTGATAGTCTTTGTTAGTTTCCATACTGTCTAGTATGAAATAATTTTTCAGACTCACAAATGTCTGGTGCCATACCTGTCTTTCAAAAAGCCCTTCCATTTTGTGGGATAGGGCATTTAGAGGTTATAATTTGAGCACTAGGACTGTTTGTTTCTCATGGATTCGTTTTTATTTCTAGGACTAGTATTCAGACCTAAGGAGTATTTATTTATTCTGTAAAGATGAAATATACCATAAGATATACTTATATAATGAGTAATTAAGTAATTCAAATAATTATTATATTTTGTATAAATAATTTAAACTCAGTTCTGTAGGGCAATTACTTAACTGCTTTGATCTTGTCTTTTTCATTTGTATTTCATTGTTACTAAAATAATTATTCATTCACTTTTTTCCATAAAACACACACCACAAATTCAGTATAATAATATTAATATTCTCACCAACATTTTAAGTACTAAAAGCAATTTCAGATTTTAAGATAACATTATATTTGTGCTTCAGAAATACCTCATTAAAGGTATTCAGTTAAAGTACTGTGTTTTATAGTCACCTGGAAATTTCCTCTCTGCATGATTACACTACCAAGTTAGTATGAAGTTAAGCTTATATGAATTATTTTACTTCAGATATTTAGAAATTGCTTCTCTGAAAATTAATTTTGTATTATAACTATATAACACATTTATATAGATTAAAATATATCAAATGTGGTATATTCAGAGCAGTATAATTTTTGTTCCTTTTCTTCCAATGCAATTCTTCTCTACCCCTATATGTAAGAATATTATACATACGCAGACCCACATATAGTTTATATTTTTAGATAAACACATGTACACACACATATTTAATATTCAACAATGCAAATGAGAATTGAATGGAAATTACTACCACTTGCGGGAAACTAAATTTTTACATTAGCAAATTAATATAAATTATTTTAAAGTATGAAATGTGATATATCAATTAGGTTTTATCATATTTTCCTATACAGGTTGAGTGTTCCTTGTCTGAAATGCTTGGGACAAGAAATATTTTGGATTTTTAATTTTTTAGGATTTCAGAATATTTGCATTACTTATCAGTTGAGCATCTCAAATCTGAAACTCTGAAATCTAAAATCCTCCAGTGAGGATTTCCTTTGAGCATCATATCAGCACTGAAAAAGTTTTGAATTTTGGAGCATTTGGGATTTCAGATTTCAGGACTTGGGATAGTCAATCTGTATTTTCTGAACTCTGTTTTCTGTGAACAAAATGGTATTGGCTACAGAGTATGTGCCATCGTAATTTTCCTTTAAAGAAGTGCTATTGCCACAGAATTATTAATACAATGCACTTACACCTTTACCCATTTATGGATATTCACTGAGCATTCACTCCCTGATATTTAGTCCCCTTGTGAACAATTACAAGAAAGGATAACAAGAGTTAATCTATAATTTCTATTTTGCATAACATTTCTCAGCATGATGCTATTTTTTTAAAGATTCAATTTCATGCAACACCAGTAGCTTAATGCTTTAACCAACATAGCTAAACAGAATTTGTGCTTTAAGTTCCATTACAGTGGCCTGTAATGGAAGCACCTTTACAAACCCTTTGTATCAGTAAAACTCTTTGTATCACTTTGAATTATGTTTGAGTAGATGTACCAGAAACCCAACTAAAATAGCTTCAGTAAATAGGGGCTCATTTTTCTCACATTATGAGAAAGCCAGAGGAAATTAGTTCTTAGGGAAAGTCCAAGACCCTTTAAAATTTCTACGACATTATGCTTTTCATATGATATTTATTTTTTCATGGTTTCGAAACGGCTTATCTGCCTTTAGATATTGTTCATATTCTAGGCAGGAAAAAAAGAGGTACTAGCAAAGGTACCTGCCAGCTGAGCCTACTCTTTTTATAGTATTAAAAAACAACAACAACAACAACAACAACAACAAAACCTTCCTGTAGGATACACCCAGTAGATTTACTCTTTAGTCTCATTTCTCCAAACTGGATCACATGTTCATTAATAGCTACAACAGAGTTATACTACTTCTCTGGGAACAATTGAAGTTCTATGTAAAGAAGGCAGAAAGCATGGTCACTGGTAAGAAACCAAGAATTTCTGCCTTATGCCTCAAATCGGTCTCAGTGACATATTTTAGGGTAGTTTTTCCTAAAATGAAAGCATTATATATCTTGTCTTACTGAGGTATCTGAATATAAACAAAGTCTATTTTCCAGAACACCAAAATTTTGATTTAAGATTTTTAAGGACTATCATGAAAAATATGTTTCACAAATGTTTGTATTAGTTTCCTACATTTGCCATAACAAAGTACCACAGACTGGATGGCTTCAACAATGAGTATTTTATTCACAATTCTGGAATCTAGAAGTGTAAGATCAAGGTGATGGGAAGGTTGATGTCTTCTAAAGTGTCTCTCCTTGGCTTGTAGGTAGTTGTTTTCTCCCTGTGTTTTTACATTGTTCTCCCTCTATGTGCATCTGCATTTTGACCTCTTCTTATAAAGACACCAATCTTATGTGATTAGGGCCCATGCATGTGACCTGATGTTAACTGAATTTCCTTTTTTGAAGACCAAATTTCTAAACACAGCCACATTCTGGAGTACTGGAGATTAAGACTCCAACGTATAAAAATTTTGGAGGGTAGTTCAGCCAAGAACACTGCGGAAGCATAGCAAACATAGAAATAAAAAAAAAAATAAAAAAATAAACTACCATAGTAGGGTGATAAGAGACTATTTCTGGATCATCCATTTCAATGTTTAAACTGTATCCCAATTTCTAGTTTCACTTCATCAGTAACAATTGAAAATGGTAACCAAAAAATCTTTACTAGGTCAAGTATAAAACTAACATTGCCAGATGATTTCTAGTTCATATGATCTATATATTCTAATAGCTTAATTAATTAATTTGTTTAGCTGGCATAAGTAGCATCATATGCGATTGAAGTTATTCAGGCATTAAACTGTGAGGAAGTAGCAAACCCAATTAGACTAAGTCCAAGCATATCTCTCTGGGATTTGTGGAAGACATTTAAACAGAAACATGTCATTTTCATGGTCCAATTTACTTGTACCTTTCTACTTAGATTTATTGTGATTTGTCTTTTCTTTCTGTGTGATTATTGGCAGATTACAATTAGCTGCAGATGCAACAGAAAAGATTATAATTTTGGAATATTTTTGTTAATTAACTTGGGTTCATATTTTAATAACATGCATGACTTATTCCTAAGATGCTAAGGAAGTATGGAAAATAAAGGCAGTTACTGTTATATGGTTTATTTTTCTGCTATTTTATATTATATAAAGTGTCTTCTAAGCTGTGGAAAGCAAAACAAATATGGACAATGGTGATATTCAATGTGAGTTATTAAAACAAATAGAAAAGAATTCAATCCAAGCACATATGAATTAATATTGATTTTAGTTAATTAATAATTATTTGAGAGTCAATGTTAAAATATCTCATTCATTAAATAGTTATAGTTATTATAGTTTGCAACATAGAAAGAGAGCGATCTTAGAAGGTGGGACAGATAGAGTTGGTTTGTCAGCTGGAACTCAAGGTTATTATTGCTAACAGTGAAGGATTTCCCTCATACCATTAAGCGGAACTATCTAGGAAGGGTCTTCAAAGTTGAGGTATCAAATCTGAAAAAGGAGACCAGTTTAATGCCAGTGAGATAATCACTGCATGAGATGATTCTGATTAATTTGATCCTGATGATGTAATGCTCAATGCCTGTTTCTGCTTCTACCTCTTCTACAGGGTACTCTGTCCAATGTGAAGATGTAATGGGCAACAAATCCATGACTCAATGTTTGCATAAGCATTTATCTAAAATAGGACCATCTATCTCAGATATTCTCTCTAGTTTAATTCAATTAATTAAATGAACTTAAATTAATCTTATAAACATAGAGATTTTATTAGATGCCTTGCCCAGCTTACATACCTGAGATACAATGATAATCAATTGTGTATAAGGTTAGAAGATGATAAGTATTAAGAAAAAAAAAAGTAGCTCAGGACATATGTTGACAAGACCTTTTTGTTTTGTAACAATAAACATTCATTTAACTGATATGTCTATGAATCAGTGATCTATATTGGGAAGTTCTTTTGGTCAGTCACATTAGGGTCTCTGCCACATTCTATTAACCAAAACAAATCACAAAGCCAACCCACATTCAAAGCATAAGGAAATCGACTGTACCTTTTTAGTTAGAAGACCTACAAAGTTACTTGGTAAACATGTGCATACAGAGATGGGGAGAAGTGGAATTACTAATAAAATCAACCTATCATGGTCTGCCCTCATGGAGTGTATAATTATTCACATCCCTTCCACATAAAAAATATGTTCTTCCCATCTGATGATGATATGATATGAATGTTTGTGTTCCCACCAAAATTCATATGTTGAAATCCTAACCTCCAAGATGATAGTATTAGGAGGTGGGGCCTTTTGGGAGATGGTTAGTGCCGCACTCATGAATGGCACCACTGCCCACATAAAATAGGCCCAAAGGAGCTCTTGCACCCCTTCCACAATGTGAAGACATATCTAGAAGGTGCTATCTGTGAACCAGAAGGTGGACCCTCACCAGACACTAAATCCACTGACTCCTTGATCTTGGATGTTCTAGCTTTCAGGACTGTGAGAAATAAATTTCTGTTGTTAATAAGCTACGCAGTATATAGTATTTTGTTATAACAGCCCAAACAGACTAAGATACATGACTATCAACAATCACATCCAATCTCAGCATCAAATTCAGAGTCTAAGATCTTGTGATTTCTATTGGTCTGGATGTGGCCCCTCTTGTTCCAGAAACCTGCACGGTAGTTCCTCCTCCTCTGTTGCTTTGCTTTCTACAGTTTCAGTTTCTCATGGTCAACTGTGATCCGAAAATATTAAATGAAAACTTTCAAAAATAAACAATGCATGAGTTTTAAATCATACTACGTTCTAAGTAGTGTGATGAAATCTCTCACCAGCCCACTGTGTTGCACCTGGGACATGAATCATCACTTTGTCTAGCATATTCATAAGGTACACTCTGCTTGCCTATAGGTCACTTAGTAGCTGCTTTTGTTATCAAACTGAAAAATCACAATATGTGTAGGATTTGGTTCTATTCATGGTTTTAGGCGTTCATTTGGGGTCTTGGGACATATCTTCCATGGATAAGGAAGTATGACTGTAACAACAAGAAAAAGATGTGTGCCTCTGAAGCGCTCAACATACAATGATAAAACAGGGAAAATTATTTATGAAAAGGAAAAGAACGAGAAGCACATAGCAGTCCCTGGTCCATAGAAATTCTGAAATTTTATTGAGGTGAAGTTCCAGGTTCTCCCCTGTTTTGGGGGAATATTATTTTATTTGAGTCTTGTTCTGCTCCTTAAAAATGAATTATCTGTTTATTGTTCTCAATTACTTTTGGCTTTTCCTTCTGAGATGTCCTTTCTTTTCCACCCATGCTGGGCACTTTTTAAGAAATTGTCCTGATACTGAACATCTGTTTCAGCCTATAGAAAGTTGGGGGTCCAGGGTCTCTTTCTTTCTCAGTCTCACAACATTTTTGTGCACACTGGCAGTGCTTTTGCCAATATGGCTCTCGTAAAACGTTCTGGATTTTTTATGTACTGTATTTGAAATTATTCTTTTCCATGTTTCAAATGCTATGCTCACATTTCTTTCAAATAATTTCTCTTGTCTGAATCATTTCTAGTTGGGCTGTAAGAAAATGCCCTTATAACAACCGGAAGTTGTTTTATCTGGTTGAAAGGCTTCCTGTAATACCTCTTAATTCTTTTAGAGGTATTACAAAGGAAACTATAGCTACACGTTTGATTTTGTCTGTGCCCTGAAGTCATGTCTTACTTAAATAATTTTTCTTGGCTGAAGAGGTTCAAATTAAGAAGTGCAGTTATGTGTTCCATAATGTTTCAATCAACAATGGACCACATATACAATGGTAGTCTCACAAGATTATAACACCATAGTTTTACTGTACTTTTCTATGTTCACATATGTTTAGATAAAGAAATACCTACCATTGTGTCATAATTGCCTACAGTATTTGGTACAGTAACATGCTGTACAGGTTTGTAGCCTAGGAGCAATAGGCTATTTCACATAGCATAGGTGTGTAGTAGGCAATACCATCTAGGTTTCTGGAAGTAGGATGTTCCTACCATGATGAAATCCCCTGATGACAAATTTCTGAGATGTGCTTGTGTCGTTAAGCAATGTGTGACTATAGTTTAGTTTCCCAGCTCAGGAAGTTCTGGCCTCCCTATTATCTCCATACTTTTCTCTGCAAATTGATCAGTTATTGTCTGAGTTCATCTGCTTCATATGATACCTTAACTTTTGCTGTAGAAAAAAATCTCAGCACATGCTTCCAAAATTATGCCTGGATATAACTTTGGACAAGTACGAAAGTTCATTAGGTACATTTTCTATATTTCAAGTTATTGACTTTGATAATTTTGAAATTGTTTTGGCAGTGTAAGACCTGGGTTACTACTTTTTCAGCCTTCTATAACAGTATTCTTGTCATATCTTCATCTTCTTTATCATTTCCTAGCTCTGTCCTCTGACTGATACCAAAGTCAATAACATATATTTTATTTTTTTATAGTAGCACCACAAGTAGAGGTACTAAGTTATCTATTGCTATGATGATACTGAGAACAAACAACCACCAACTTCACTAACATACACCAATAAAAGTTTATTTAACTTACTGTGTAGGTCAAAAATTTAGGCTGGGTTTGTCTAGGCACTCTTTCTTGTCCTAATGAGGCTCTCTCACCCGTGTAATATTTGATTGTGGATTGGCATATCTTGATGCCCTTGGTTGGAACTCATGAAATGTTTTGACTCTGCTCCATGTATTTCACCTTCAGCAAGCTAGTTATGGTATATTCTTCTAGTGAAGGCACAGGATAGTGAGGGAGTAAGGGGAAACACAAGCAATCTTGAGATCTAGGCTGGCAACCAGAACATCATCATTCTGCCACATTTTATTGGGCAAAAAAAGTCACAAGGTGAATTCAAATTTGAAGGTTAGAGAAATAAACTATCTTGTTAGAGGAGCTAAAAAGTCACAAAGCAGAGAGTGTGGGTACACGAAGGGACAAAACATTGGGGGCCATTTACGTAAGTATTTTACCACAGTGATATTTGAGAAAATATTTAAAGGAGATAAATAAATCAAGCAAATGAATAAAATATATACTTTCCATGAAAAGAAAACAGCCAGTGCAAAGTCTCCAAAGCAAGAATAGGCCTAGGTCATTAGAGCAAGCCACAATGCTAGAGTAGACTGGAAATTGGTAAGAATGAGATCAGAGAGGAAATGGGGCAGATCATACAGGCTTGTAATATATTAAAGGTCTTTGCTTTTACTCAGAGTGAAGTGGAGAGCCATGAAGGGTTTTGAACAATGGCATAATCTTACTTCGGTCTTATAAGGACATATCTGCCTACTATGCTGAGGGCAGATTAATAGGACGAAGTGGAAAGCAAGGAGACTAGTAGGAGGCTCTTTCAGAAATCCATGTTCTCAGACTAAGGTATAATAGTCAATGTCTTAATCCATTTGTGTTGCTATAAAAGAATACCCAAGGCTGGGTAATTTATAAAGAAAAGAGGTTTATTTGACTTATGTTTCTTCAGGCTGTACAAAAAGTTTGTCTCCAACATCTGGTCCCGATGAGGGCTTCAGGCTGCTTCTACTCATTGTAGAAGGTGAAGGGGAGGTGGCAAGTACAGGGATCACATTGTGAGATAGAAAGCAAGAGAGAGAGGAAAGGGAGATGCCGGGCTTTTTTTTTTTTTTTTTTTTTTTTTTAACAATGCAGCTCTTGCTAGGACTATCAGAGTAAGAACTCACTCACCACCCTTAACCAGGTAGATCATTAATCTATTCATGAGGGATCCACCCCAGGACCTGAAGACTGCCCCACCACCCAGTGCGGCCACATTGGGGATTAACTTTCAACATGAGATCTGGAGAGATAAAACATCCAAACTACTGCAGTCGAAGAGATAAAATGTAGTCAGAATTTTGCTATATCTTGAAGGTAGAATCAGTGGGATTTACTGATTGATAGGCTATGGAATAAAGAAAAGGGATCAGTGATAACACTGAGGCTTTTGGTTGTGTACCTGGAAAGATGAAGTTGTCATCAATGAAGATAATGGAAATAGTGGGAGAAATATATTGGAGAGAAGATTGAGTGTTTAGTTTTGAAAATGTTAAATTTGATATTTTTATTAAACATCTATATGGAGATGTTGAGTAGACAAAATTGTGAAGAGAGATCTGAATTGAAAATATGAATTTGGGAGTTATGGACATACAGATGATATTTAAAGCCATGAGACTGAATGAGACTACCATGGGAATGACTGAAGACAGAGACAAGAAGAATAACCAAGAGCTGAGCCTCTAGGTACATGAACGCCAAAAACAAAATAGAATAAAACACACATACATTAAAAATGCTCAATTTTATGAGTAACAATAAAAACAAAATTAAGATAATCATAAAATACCAGTTGGTTATAAAAATGACTATGATTATTAAAAATCATAATAGTAACTCCCAGTTTTATAGTTTTATGCAGTTTCTATAGGACCTTGTAGAAAACAACATCCCAGTTTATTCACTTTTAAGCATTTACCAAATGGAATTACATATGAATTGCAGAAATTATATAAACATATTTATTGCATCATTATATTGAAAAGTGAAAACTTGTATACGTTATTTCTGGAAGGTATTAGTTGTATTGTTTTAACAAAGTATTTTGGCAAAATATTTATTACGATCCATTGATTCCTCTGCTAGGTTTTCACCTAGTTGGATATGTGGAGGTAGAAGGGTAAACATTTACATATATGCATATTAACTGAGAGTAATATAAAATATTGAAAGATTAAAAACAGCCCAATAGCATATGCTATATTGTGTAAGTTTCCAAATTTTCTATTTTATATATAGTTAATTTACTTAAGTAATTTATTTTGGAAAAAATATTAACTTTTAAAATATGAGACGTAAGTATATTGTTTTCTTTATCTGTTGACTAACATGTAGGGTAATTTGTATTAGAAATGCTCCTCAACTTACAATGGGGTTCTTTACTAGTTCCACATGGTAGAATCAACTTATGGATGGTGTCATTACCTAAAATAAGAAAGTAGAGAAGAAATCATTTGATTTTGAACATGTTCTATGCCTTCAAAACCTCCATGGAAAAAAGTCCAGAAAATACATGGAAAGGCATATCAGGTGCTACAAAAATAGTTCAGATGTAGAACATGTAGACATGTTCAGGAGTTAGAATTCTGGAAAGTAATTGGTGCTGTAAGTGAAAAACATATTTAGAGACAAGCAGTCTAAGGACAGAAACTTGGTAAAGGTCAACATTTAAGGTTGGGAGAAGTGAAAGGACAGAATAAAAAAGGCCTACAAGGTGTAATTACAGATGTAGAGAATTAAAGCAACACTGGGCCACAGAAGTCAAGAGAGGAGCATTTCAGGGGAGTGAGCAGAAGTCAGACACTGCCAGCAAAAGTCCACTAGAATGATTCCGTCTTTAAAAAATAGCATTGCATTTAGTAATGAGATAGGTGATGAAAAGTTCCAAATAAGTGGGAAGTTGAAAGTAGAAGTATTATTGCAGACAGTTTAGGAGTATGTAGGTGAAAGAAAGTGAAAGTTAAAACATGTCTTGAGGTGACTCTACTTACAAAACTAGGGCAATGATGCAGGTAGTGTGACAGAACTCTTAGCAGTTACCCAGGTCTGGTGCCGACTTCTACACCAAGACTGCATGATATAAGGAGAGAGTCTGCAGAAGTTTATCTTTGACCCTTTTCAATGACAGAAAAATCTTTTTATTCTATGGGTGAAGCTTTGGAAGACATATATGAAAGAAAGCCCCAGTTTCTGTGTTCTGAAATCCGTCACTATTCCTAGGCTTCTTCCCACAGTTACTGAGCATGGTGAGTATATTAAGGCAGGCACATTCTTGGGACAGAACACTGGCTCCAGGTCTCCCCAAGAGGCCTGCTGAACTCCAGGTCTCCCTAAGAGGCCTGCTGAATTCCCTTAGCCTATAGATTCTGAGGTGCTTCCTTCCATTCTGTCCCCTATCTGTCCTTCACTGCAGGACAGACCTGCACTGTGGTCTGACTGCTTACCCAGCCTTTCTGACTCCTGCCCAATTTTTCTCTCATATAGGCATCTGTTCTCATAAAATCCTTGCACATTTAACGCCATCTGGTTATCTGCTTCTCAGAGGACCTGGGCTAACACCCACATATAGTAGAAAGTATCAGATGTTGTTTGAAACTGTGACCCTCTTAAGCCATGTGCTATTTGTTGAAGACAGTGACGTACATTTACAAAATTGTCTGTCTTAATGTTCAAAAAGTAGGTAACAGTTAGGCTTTACTAATTTTACAGTTGAGGCAGTCCATCTTTGTCCATATCCCCCTTTTGATGGTCCCCCTGTACAGTGTTCCTTAAATTTTGAGTATCCTGAATATTGAAAGTCATAAACAGTATCATCTAGTGACATTTGGCATTCTTTCTATTCTTGAGTACGTTCATAGTTTCCTCCAGTGAGCTTGGTGAAACTGGAAGGTAGTGCAAGGATTATTTACTTTTTCTCTACTTCATGTGTAGTAATCATGTTGATATTTATCTAATTTGTAAAGTGATAGATGCTGGTTGTTGAGGAAGAGATAGTATAAATCATACTAATAATCTTACTACCAGGGTGAAGGGATTGCCAGGATACTTCCAGTGTTCATTAGTATGTGCTTTGCGTCACAAGATAGTAGGAAAACAAAGAAGAAAATATCACTGGGTGAGAAAGTCCCAAAGAAATGCACCTCTAAATTATGGGTAAAACTTGCTCCATCAGTCTCTTTTCTTCATAATATTTCTCTCAAGGAATAAAGGCTACTCCAATGATCGGTTTAGAAGTATGGATGCTGTTGTATGAGGATGAGTTAACTGGATTTGGCCTGAATTTTATTCATTACCTTTTCAGTAAGACTCCAAAGAATCAGGCAAGTATACTAGTCTCTGTTGTGTTCATGTCACTGTGGGATCATAGGAGGGAGAGGAGTCCTGTAGTGCTAACATATATCCCAGTATTTCAAAATAGAGGCCTTCACATCTATACAAACACTCCCTCTGTAAAAGATGCTGAGCTCATCCAGTTTGAAGGAAAGGGAGCCTCTTGAGAATGCAGCTTTATACTAAGGGTTCTTATTAAATGATACTTGATCCTATTCAAGTGAAGGCATGTGAAATGTGCCCAGTGGGTATAATTATTTTGATTAGTGGACTCTAATGCAGATACCATCACATTTCCATACCACAGTTAACATTTAACAGAATAGGCAGTTTCAGATTATTAACAACAGGCCATAAGCAATCCTGGCATTTCCTAGGAAACATCTAATTGGAAACTATGACTTGGGAAGAGACATCTATTTCCTCAAAATGGATTACTTTGTTCTATTCAGAGAAAATAAAAGTATAGAATAGGCCATGACAAATTGTCATTTACTCGTGTATTCTACTGAGAAACTAGGGTATGGCTCTGGGAAATACTGCCAGGAGATAGGAAATCAGAAAGTTTACAAGTAAGGCAAAACACAAAAATTACAAATCCAACTCCCCCACCCCCAATAGACTAAGGACTCATCAACATTAAAAAGACACAACATCTTTTAAAAATTTAATAAAAGCACTGGCGTAGACATTTTTCCTTTTTCTTGACAGATCAGCATCTGAACTCACTTCTCATTTTGGAGGAATACCTCATTGTATCTAAGTGGAAAGTAAGACCCTCATCCTCACTGTGAAGGTGAAGGGAGACAAATTGTTTCTCTCTCTTTCTATCCCTTAATGCTTAAACTCTGGAGAAAGTGATGCAAAGAGGAAGGGATAGATTGTCTTTGCGAGGGCTTCACAGAATCTTGCAAGATGTGCATCAAAAAAAGGATTGACCTATGGTCTTGGTTTTAAGTATTCAGTCACAGCTGTGTTCAGCAGCATAGATGGCCATGGTACCAAACAGCATTCTAATCAGTCTAGTCCTTTAGCCTGGACTTAGCTATCGTTGTCATTGCCTAGGCTTCTTATTCACCCATTTCCCCAAATTTATCTCGCCTGATTCTAATCTATGAGCCACTAAATAACTAATTTCTTTATGTTATCTAAAATTGTAGCTGTTACTTATGGCCAAGAGCCCTGAATGATATGTTATCTCATTTAAAAATATATAAGTGATTTCAAATAATCCTGTCAGATAATATTTTTCATTCATCATTTTCTTGGAATTATAGCCCCTGAGTATTAACAGTAACACCAGAGGGCATACTTTAAACAATCCTCTTAACACATGATATACTCTATAACATTACTGGTTAGTGGCTATCTGGCCTTCGTTCAAATGCTTTCAGTGACAGAAAGCTACTAATTTCTCAAGGCTGATTACTCCATTTTAAGACAACTGTAATTTTTGGTTATTTATTCCATCTAGCTTTCTTTAACTGTAAGATATGTGGTGATTTATTTGGCAGTCTCATCTAAGTTTCAGCTCAGCTTGAGATTGCAGTGAAGTGTATATCTCTGTTATGAAAGGCTGTGGTCATAAATTTAGTTTCATTAAAGTTTAATTAAAAGTATTTTGGGCCAGGCATGGTGGCTCACACCTGTAATCCCAGCATTTTGGGAGGTCAAGATGAGTAGATCACTTGGGATGAGGAGTTCAAGACCAGCCTGGCCAACATGGTGAAACCCCATCTCCACTAAAAATACAAAAAATTAGCCAGGCAAGGTGGTGCGTGCTTGTAATCCCAGTTACTTGTGAGGCTGAGGAAGGAGAATCGCTTGAACCTGGGAGGCAGAGGTTGCAGTGAGCTTGATCATGTCAGCACTCCAGCCTGGGTGACAGAGTGAGACTCTGTCTCAAAAAAAAAATTATATATATATATATATATATATATATATATGAATATGGCACAAATATGGGCTCCAGAGAACCCCCCTTGGGAAAATTTAATGCTGTGATATTTCTAGTTCAGATTTGGGTCTGGCTTCCTAAATTTAGTACAAGTTTTAAGTCTCGTTAGCTCACCCCTATTGGAAAATGCTTCCACAATCAGGTTGTCACCCCCAAACTGCTTTATTTAGAATCAGATTTGGGTTCAGTAACAAGTGTTGGGGTGGAGGAGGGAGACTAGGATCAATGTGAGTGTTGGATTGGCTCCTTTGACAAAGAGAAGCAATAGTGCTTATGTATATGAATATTGTGACAAATGTTTTCTAAAAAAAAAAAAAAAAAAAAAAGCCTGCCAAAGTGGGTGAATAAAATGCAGCTAATTCAAATTTTAAAAACTCTCAGAGTGAGTGATGTCCTCACTTGGTCTAAAACATGTGGCTGACTGCTGTTTATTAGCAATATGCTTTTCTCCTTTGCAATGGCTGTAATAAATCTACAACTGGAATTCCCTCAATTAGCTAATTCATGGGCCAGAGCCAAGATTTAAATTTCTACTGCTGAAAATATCATTTCATTGATCAAAATCACACAGGTGAAGAATAAAGATGCAGCTGCTTATGTAAACTTCAGAATTTATATCAGGAGTGAAGACCCATAAAAATACTTGCTAAAAATGATACCTAATTAAAACAATTCCTCATATCTCTAGAGGCTTTATGCTTTTTTGTTTAGTTTTATCAATGGAAGAATCCAGGGTAATAGAATATGCTGGCAAACATTATATTAATGTGCATTAATGTGTGAATTTTCTTGTTTTTAAAAGTCCGTGTATTTTGTATTATCTTGTAAACACAGTTTAAATGGCTTGTAGTGAGGTAGTTATTACTGAAGGCAGCCCCCAAAAATAATATATAATGAATTTATATAACTAATACATACAGTAGTTTAGCCCTTTGGAAGAGTGTGTCATTGGAAATTAATCCTTGAGGGTCCTTTAGTGCATTTCCCATTAAAACTCACCCTATTCTTCTTCCCATGCTTACATTTCTTTGAGCAATTTGGGAGGTAGAAGTGCAGATGCAAAGATAAAATTTCCAGATAAGCAGTTCTGTTTCCATAGTCCGGGCAACATAAGCATCCATTCACCCCGCTGCTAAAGTGAGTTTGTAAGGTATACAGAATTCAAAGTTCAAAAATTCTCAACATTTTTGAAGTACCACACTGTCCCAAAGGCCACTCCCCTGTCTGGCATATCCTTCCTATCATTTCTTCCTAAATGACTCTGTTTACTCTTCAACTATTGACTCAATCACATCTTCCTTTCACTGATCTCTGTGATTTAAGTATTTTATGCACTCTTTTGGAAAAATGTACTTCTCTTCTTAGTACTGCTTATTCCTATTATATGATAATGAATATGTGGTTATTTGATTAATGCTTGTCTCACCTCCTGCAAACCCTGAGCAACCTGAGGGAAGGAGCCATATCTAGTTTTGCTCACTATTGTATTCCCAGCACCTGCCATAGTGGCTGGTAATCAGTAGGCACTTGATAAATATTGGTAAAACAGATTAAATCTTCACACTCATTTTCAGAAGCCTTTTCCAAACCTGTACAGTTTTCCTGCTTCTCTACCATAAAGAGAAAGAAGATACCTCCGTTTGATGAGGAAAATTATTTCCCTGTGCTTTAGACTCCATCCACTCCAGTTTTCTCCAGTAACTCACCCCAGCAATCCCTAATTTTGCTTCTATCTTCAATCTTTTTCTCTGTTCCTTCAGAATAAATGTATCATCCAGAATATTCTATTTTACAAACAAATATAAACACAAAAAGGAGCAAAAATAAAAATAAAACATTCCTAAACTTCCATTCAATTATTTCTTTTATTGGACCTAAATTGTAGAACATCTACAATTTTTGTAGTCATCTACCATTTGTCAGCCATATTTCAGGCTAAATAGTGAAGAACATAGATGTAGATTCTGTAAAAAAAACAAAACAAAACAGAACAAAAACTGAGAATCAGCTGCCATCCCTTCTCTGTCCTTTACTTCAAAGCCAAATTTCTTGTTTCTTTACAATATTATTTTCCCTTGTGTTTACCTTCTCACTTTCTATTCACCCCTCCACCTCCAGAAGTTCCATACCAAATAGCTAACCAGTAAGTGGTTAAACCTTATCAAATTTGACATTTGATCAAATTTGATCCTTATCAAATTTGACATTCTTTTAGCATTTGGACTGATTACTCTCTCCTGGATCCTCTTTCCTCTGTTGGTTGCATGAAACTTACCTTTTTTGGTTCCTGGAAGATTTTTCTTGCTTTCATAAATAAACTATTATTTCTCTATTTATATTACATGTTGGTATTCCTTGTGGTTCCATTTTTAGTACCCTTCTTAGGCATTTTCCAGGTGATCTCATTTAATCTGTTGGCTTAAACTATAATATGTAAGTCTCAACATATCCTGCCAAAGTTTCTAGTTTGATTTTCAAATCTATAGGCACAATTACTGTTCTTCTTCATCTGGATAGCCCAGAGATTATTTCCAAAACAAATTCATTGGCATGTCCTTCCAGAACAATTTGTTCTCTTTTCTCTGTCTTAAAAGGTATCCTTCACTTAGTTGCTTGAGCCAAAGCCATGATGTTCACCTTTGATTTCTTACTACATCTTCTCCTCATTTGCTGTGATAGTCAATCATCAAGTAACATTGATTTTACTTGCTTAAAATTCTTTAGCTTCCATTCTCTTTCCTCTACGTTCACTACTCCTCCTTCCTTTTGGAATATATCTTCTTGTATGCAGATTATTATAATAGTCTCTTAAGTGGTTTCCCTTATAAATCTAGTTTCGATATTCCTGCCAGCACAATTTTATAATATGCAAATATGGCCATGTTGTTCTAGTGCTAAAAGTTCTTCACTAGATCACTTGAACTTTCAAGTCAGCATCAGCCCCTAAGCACGTGCCTAGCCATTCTTATTTCACATCTCTTGTGCATGCTTCTTTCAAATTTTATGTTCAGTCAACTTCAACTTCCCCAAGGGACCATATTTCCTCTCGTTTCCAGAATTAGTGCACAGTTCTTTATTGTGTCTTCCTTGATCTTCCCAATATAATTAAGGAGTCTTTGTTGTTTGATAATAGAATCCCACGGTTATCTTTATTATATATTTATCCAGTGTAGAGGATAAAATGTACTCAAAATTCCTTAACTACACATACTCTTTTTTAACTATCACCTCCCCTTCCCACATAAACACACACACACACCCCTATCATGGAAAGAGGGTGTTGATAATCTGACTTGTTTTCTTGATGGGAACTCAGATTAAAAGATCATACCATGAGGTTGGTACTTTCTGTGAAGTAGATCATATGTGTCCTCTGCTTGAAATATTTCCCCATTAAACTGAGAATAAAAGATAAGCACCTTCAAATAGTTTAACAGATTTTACTGTCATTTACCTCTTGAAACTCACATTGCTCTCCACCTGTTTAAAACTTTCCAGCCACATGGCCTTATTTCAGTGCTTTGACTATGCAAAACCCCATTGCCCATGGTCTTTTCTTTCTGAATGCTACCCCCCAACCCCCACTTCACTATTTTTTATCTGGATATTCCCAACCATCATTTAGGTCTCATCTTAAATGTCAATATCTCAGATAAACCTTCCTTGATTTCTCATTTTGTAATGAGCACTTTCTGTCATTCTCACAATGTATCTTGTTATGTTACGTGATTGAATTATTATAATTTATCATTGTCATCTACTTCTTCCATTTTACCATGAGGCCCATGAGTCTCATGGAGTATAAGATGATCAGATCATGTCTGTTTTGTTCACCACCGTATAATCTGTTGGGCATCTTTAGGTGTTCAGAATCCTTTTAATAAGTATAACGTTTTGGGGACAAAGACCATAATGTGCTTTCATTGCTTGCCTGGGAGGGAGTAGAGATGGAGGCTAACATTGCTGACATTTTACACATGCTTAGGACCTCATTATGTAACCCCCTAAAGTTTTCAATCCTTCACCCATATCCTTTTGGACCCCTTTAATCTTTTGGAACATTTCAGTTCCCTGAGTGCTTTCTCTCTCAGCAGCCAGTGTTGGCATCTCTGTGCAGAGGCTGCCCTTAGGCTGGTGGAGAGTGCCTGGAAATTTATTATCTCCTGAGGTCCAAGCTCTTATCAAAGGTCTGAAAAGTTTCAGGGGAGGAAGTATAAATACTCCATCTCCCTTAGCCTGGATTAAGACCACAATTTCCTCTGTCTCCAAAAGTTCCATGTGGAATTGAGCTATGCTCTCTGTGGTTTTCCTTAGTTCCGTATCCTTGCTTGGCTTGTATCCATCCCTTTTTTAATCCCAATTCCTCACTCGTCTATTGTTTTTTTCCCAATAAGTAATTTTCACACAAATCCTTGGCTCAGAGTCTGTTTCTGGGGAACTCTAACAGACATCAAATTTCAGAGAAGAGGCTTTGAATGCTTTTCATGTCCTTGAGTACAAACTTTTGACCTATGTTGTCAGTCAAATTCTAAATTATTTTTTGTTTAAACAGGCACAGATGGAGAATGTGCTGGAAAGGACTTAGTGATCTGCCTGTCCAATGGCCTTGTTTTATTGATGAGGGACTGAGCAGCAGAAGGGCGGGTGCTTGCTCGAGGTCACAGCCTTCGTGACTGGGGGATGGCCACCAGGACTAGAATCCTGATATTTCTGACATCAAGAAGCTTTCATAAATTTAAATTGAGTGATTTAAAAAGGTTGGAAAGAAACCAAACACTATTAAAATAAAAGAAATTGGCCTTCAGATAAAAATAATTCATAGGAGCATTAAAGTCATTAAAATACATCCTGAGGATAAGCTGAACTGATAGCAACTTAGTGTCCCTTACTATGTTTTATACAGCAATTTTATAAAGTCATTTCTTCTAATGCCTCCTACAGAGAAAACATCTGGTAATTATGTAGCTTTAGGATACATATATGTGGGTATGTATATATAGGTGCCTGTGTGTGTATAACAAAGCATTGAGTTTTCTTAAAAATAAAAATTTGAAATGTTTACAAAATTGCTGTTAAAAGCCACAGTATGGCTGCTTCACAGATTGTGATGAGTAATAGCATCATATGTCTTACTTGAGAGCCCTCAAAGTGCTTTAAATGTATTGTACTTGTGACTTATGAGGTTCCCAGACAAGATATAAACCTATAATTTTCTGCCATCATCGTTACTCAAGATGACAGGCTCAACCTGGAATGGAATTGATTTATTAGACTTTTTTTATTCAGATGAAGCTAACACATAACTATAAATTCTCTGATTAATGAAAAGATTCTAATACCAGAGCTAACACATCTTCATGATTTGGTCTCTAAAGCTAATTTAAGCAAAGTTGTGAATACCACTCCATAAAAAACACCTATTGCTGCGTGTGTGTGTGTATGTGCTTGTGTGAGTGCTCGTGCATTCAGTGATAGGCCCATGAAATTTTATGAGAGGTGAAAGGGATTCTTTTGGTGACATCAATTTTATTGGTAGTAAAATGTTACAGAGCTTTTGTGATAGTTTTTCTAGAAAGAGGAGTAGGATATGAAATTTAAATGTATTGCCTTGAAGTCAATTTCTGATAGCTTAACATTATTTTAACTAAAATGAAAACACACAGTGCAACGTTTTTCAATAAGTAGACTGAGAAATGATTGATTTAGTAATCACCCAAACTTCCACACCATGCAGAAATGCTCTAAATACCATTTCCTAGAAGTCAAGTTTGAGTACTATAGGGGATAGAGAGTTTAGTATTTACAGTTTTAGACAATAATATACTTCAGAAAAATTTAACTTATATTCATAAGAAGTATATCTTTCCATAAATCCGAGGCCCTTGTCAGAATTCTGCCCTCTGCTGATGCACAGACTTATTCTAATCTTTCTTGCATAGGTTATTTTTTCACAGCCACCATATGCACAATGCTCTTTGCTTATCTAGATGGAAAGTAGAGCCTCTCTTTTTCATTTCTCATGCAACATGGTTTCTAAATTTCTCATAATCCTGTCATTGTTGAATTGGTGAAATTCTCTTCTAATGTGGCATTCCATTGAGAGGAAAAAAACAGTACTTTTGCTGCTCCTAATTTATTTCTGCAACAAATAGTTATTTAGTGTCTATTTTGTGTCAGCACTACTCTAGGCATTGATTGAGGGATACAATGGGAAGAAAAAAACTCTCTGTCTTCACAGCATTTTATTATTATTATTATTATTATTATTATTATTATTATTATTATTATACTTTAAGTTTTAGGGTACATGTGCACATTGCGCAGGTTAGTTACATATGTATACATGTGCCATGCTGGTGCGCTGCACCCACTAACTCATCATCTAGCATTAGGTATATCTCCCAGTGCTATCCCTCCCCCCTCCCCCCACCCCACCACAGTCCCCAGAGTGTGATGTTCCCCTACCTGTGTCCATGTGTTCTCATTGTTCAATTCCCACCTATGAGTGAGAATATGCGGTGTTTGGTTTTTTGTTCTTGCGATAGTTTACTGAGAATGATGATTTCCAATTTCATCCATGTCCCTACAAAGGACATGAACTCATCATTTTTTATGGCTGCATAGTATTCCATGGTGTATATGTGCCACATTTTCTTAATCCAGTCTATCATTGTTGGACATTTGGGTTGGTTCCAAGTCTTTGCTATTGTGAATAATGCCGCAGTAAACATACATGTGCATGTGTCTTTATAGCAGCATGATTTATAGTCCTTTGGGTATATACCCAGTAATGGGATGGCTGGGTCAAATGGTATTTCTAGTTCTAGATCCCTGAGGAATCGCCACAGTGACTTCCACAATGGTTGAACTAGTTTACAGTCCCACCAACAGTGTAAAAGTGTTCCTATTTCTCCACATCCTCTCCAGCACCTGTTGTTTCCTGACTTTTTAATGATTGCCATTCTAACTGGTGTGAGATGGTATCTCATTGTGGTTTTGATTTGCATTTCTCTGATGGCCAGTGATGGTGAGCATTTTTTCATGTGTTTTTTGGCTGCATAAATATCTTCTTTTGAGAAGTGTCTGTTCATGTCCTTCACCCACTTTTTGATGGGGTTGTTTGTTTTTTTCTTGTCAATTTGTTTGAGTTCATTGTAGATTCTGGATATTAGCCCTTTGTCAGATGAGTAGGTTGCGAAAATTTTCTCCCATTTTGTAGGTTGCCTGTTCACTCTGATGGTAGTTTCTTTTGCTGTGCAGAAGCTCTTTAGTTTAATTAGATCCCATTTATCAATTTTGGCTTTTGTTGCCATTGCTTTTGGTGTTTTAGACATGAAGTCCTTGCCTATGCCTGTGTCCTGAATGGTAATGCCTAGGTTTTCTTCTAGGATTTTTATGGTTTTAGGTCTAATGTTTAAGTCTTTAATCCATCTTGAATTGATTTTTGTATAAGGTGTAAGGAAGTGATCCAGTTTCAGCTTTCTACATATGGCTAGCCAGTTTTCCCAGCACCATTTATTAAATAGGGAATCCTTTCCCCATTGCTTGTTTTTCTCAGGTTTGTCAAAGATCAGATAGTTGTAGATATGCGGCGTTATTTCTGAGGGCTCTGTTCTGTTCCATTGATCTATATCTCTGTTTTGGTACCAGTACCATGCTGTTTTGCTTACTGTAGCCTTGTAGTATAGTTTGAAGTCAGGTAGAGTGATGCCTCCAGCTTTGTTCTTTTGGCTTAGGATTGACTTTGCAATGCGGGCTCTTTTTTGGTTCCATATGAACTTTAAAGTAGTTTTTTCCAATTCTGTGAAGAAAGGCATTGGTAGCTTGATGGGGATGGCATTGAATCTGTAAATTACCTTGTGCAGTATGGCCATTTTCACGATATTGATTCTTCCTACCCATGAGCACGGAATGTTCTTCCGTTTGTTTGTATCCTCTTTTATTTCCTTGAGCAGTGGTTTGTAGTTCTCCTTGAAGAGGTCCTTCACATCCCTTGTAAGTTGGATTCCTAGGTATTTTATTCTCTTTGAAGCAATTGTGAATGGGAGTTCACTCATGATTTGGCTCTCTGTTTGTCTGTTGTTGGTGTATAAGAATGCTTGTGATTTTTGTACATTGATTTTGTATCCTGAGACTTTGCTGAAGTTGCTTATCAGCTTAAGGAGATTTTGGCCTGAGACAATGGGGTTTTCTAGATATACAGTCATGTCGTCTGCAAACAGGGACAATTTGACTTCCTCTTTTCCTAATTGAATACCCTTTATTTCCTTCTCCTGCCTAATTGCCCTGGCCAGAACTTCCAACACTATGTTGAATAGGAGCGGTGAGAGAGGGCATCCCTGTCTTGTGCCAGTTTTCAAAGGGAATGCTTCCAGTTTTTGCCCATTCAGTATGATATTGGCTGTGGGTTTGTCATAGATAGCTCTTATTATTTTGAAATGCATCCCATCAATACCTAATTTATTGAGAGTTTTCAGCATGAAGCGTTGTTGAATTTTGTCAAAGGCCTTTTCTGCATCTATTGAGATAATCATGTGGTTTTTGTCTTTGGTTCTGTTTATCTGCTGGATTACATTGATTGATTTGCGTATATTGAACCAGCCTTGCATCCCAGGGATGAAGCCCACTTGATCATGGTGGATAAGCTTTTTGATGTGCTGCTGGATTCGGTTTGCCAGTATTTTATTGAGGATTTTTGCATCAATGTTCATCAAGGATATTGGTCTAAAATTCTCTTTTTTTATTGTGTCTCTGCCAGGCTTTGGTATCAGAATGATGCTGGCCTCATAAAATGAGTTAGGAAGGATTCCCTCTTTTTCTATTGATTGGAATAGTTTCAGAAGGAATGGTACCAGTTCCTCCTTGTACCTCCTTCGCAGCATTTTTAAGTATGTTCAGCAGTGCATATTTTAAAAGGTAACCTATCTCCCTAAATCCAAACTCTCTTTTCTTTGTAATGTAGTCTAAACTATGTTAAACATTTTAATTCAGCAAATAAATCATATTTGCTCATATTTAACAAATCATAAATTAAAATATTTAGGGTTTATATATGAGCATTGGACAATCTCCCATTCTAACTTTTACCTTGAATAATTTCTGAAATGAACACATTTCTTGTCTTTTAAAAATATTTTATCTCATCATCCAACTTGAAATAATTTTTATAATTTAATCTTGTCTGTGAAAGACCCTTTCTGGTTTTGAGTCAACAAAAAGTTAATAAAAACATTTTTTGGGACTTTACTAAGTTGTGGTTAAAAGTGTTACTTAGGCAAGGAGTCAAGTATAGAATCTTGAAATCTCGTCGTTTCAAGACGGTAATACAATGTGAAGCAAACATTATGGCTAATAACAAAAATACTTCAGTGAAACTGAAAGTAACAGAAATTCTACTTCCACAGGTAACCATCATTACCAAGTTATTGTTTGTCTCTACAGAATTTTAAAGGATATATTTTTATACAAATTGTATTATATTTTACACGTCTGCATTTTAACTAACATACGTATCATATATCCATTCCCATTTTAAAATGTAAAAAAATTCCTTTTCCTTTGGAATATATGCAATTTTCCCCCACTGTACACATATACTCATACTCCAATTTATTTAATCTATTCATTATTCATTGACATTTAGGCTGTTTCCAGAATTTTTTCATTATAAGCAACATGGAGCATACATAGTGGGATATACATTTTTGTACACTTGCACTATTCTTAGCCTAAGATAAACTTTCAGAAGTGGATCAAATTATATTCAAACTTAAATTTTGGAATACATTACCAGATTGCCCACTGGAAAGCACGAAACATTTTACACAACCATCTCTATAAATTGAATTTTTATCTTCTTTAACCCTTCCTAACAAGAAGTATTATAAATCTTCCTAATTGTTTTCCATTTAATATTTTGTTTTAATTTGCATTTGCATGTCTAATGGCAATTTGTGTTATATACTAACTTGCTACCTGCCCAATTTTCTATTTGGATGATTTTATTTTTCTTTTTGATTTGCTAGAATATACTGACTTTTCTGGTCATATGTTGCACAAATTTCTTTTAAAATATATCTTTTGTGTGTAGTGTATATAAAATGTGTATGCTGTCAAATCTCAAAAAAACTTTCGGTACTATTAATTTGATCTTTAATCAACTATTTAGATTTGATTGAACAACAGATGATTGTAACAGCATTCCAATATCAAAATGGAACTTGGAGAGGGTTGAGGAGTTGTAACGAAAACAGTCCTGGAAGATAGTATTGTTTAATCTTGTGTAAAATACTTCAACCTCTCTAAATCTCAATTTCTGTATTTGTAAAAAAAAAAAACAAAAAACCAAAAAATAAAAAACCTAAAACAAAAATTGAGAAGAATAATGTCTACCTGTGTAAAGGGATATTCTGATGATAAAGTGTGCTAATCTATATGTTAGAAATTGTTTTACTATGTGAGACAATATTTAATGATCTCTTTAATTTTATTTTTTATTTTTTATTTTATTTTTATTATACTTTAAGTTTTAGGGTACATGTGCACAACGTGCAGGTTAGTTACATATGTATACATGTGCCATGCTGGTGCGCTGCATCCATTAACTCGTCATTTAGTATTAGATATATCTCCTAGTGCTATCCCTCCCCCCTCCCCCCACCCCACAACAGGCCCCAGAGTGTGATAGTCCCCTTCCTGTGTCCATGTGATCTCATTGTTCAATTCCCACCTATGAGTGAGAACATGTGGTGTTTGGTTTTTTGTCCTTGCGATAGTTTACTGAGAATGATGATTTCCAATTTCATCCATGTCCCTACAAAGGACATGAACTCATCATTTTTTATGGCTGCATAGTATTCCATGGTGTATATGTGCCACATTTTCTTAATCCAGTCTATCATTGTTGGACATTTGGGTTGGTTCCAAGTCTTTGCTATTGTGAATAGTGCCACAATAAACATACATGTGCATGTGTCTTTATAGCAGCATGATTTATAGTCCTTTGGGTATATACCCAGTAATGGGATGGCTGGGTCAAATGGTATTTCTAGTTCTAGATCCCTGAAGAATCGCCACACTGACTTCCACAATGGTTGAACTAGTTTACAGTCCCACCAACAGTGTAAAAGTGTTCCCATTTCTCCACATCCTCTCCAGCACCTGTTGTTTCCTGACTTTTTAATGATTGCCATTCTAACTGGTGTGAGATGGTATCTCTTTGTGGTTTTGATTTGCATTTCTCTGATGGCCAGTGACGGTGAGCATTTTTTCATGTGTTTTTTGGCTGCATAAATGTCTTCTTTTGAGAAGTGTCTGTTCATGTCCTTCGCCCACTTTTTGATGGGGTTGTTTGTTTTTTTCTTGTCAATTTGTTTGAGTTCATTGTAGATTCTGGATATTAGCCCTTTGTCAGATGAGTAGGTTGCGAAAATTTTCTCCCATTTTGTAGGTTGCCTGTTCACTCTGATGGTAGTTTCTTTTGCTGTGCAGAAGCTCTTTAATTAGATCCTATTTGTCAATTTTGGCTTTTGTTGCCATTGCTTTTGGTGTTTTAGACATGAAGTCCTTGCCCATGCCTATGTCCTGAATGGTAATGCCTAGGTTAACTACTCTGTTTATATAAATCTAACAGGTTATGGCACCTAGCTATCTAAGCAGTAGTTTGAAGAACCATTATCTTTATTTCTCGTCTAAATGAGGTTGTTGTGATCTTTTAGGACTTCTGTGGTTTCCCATGATTCTTAAATATCACTGGCATCACAACTATAAGTTATCTGAATACTTAGGATACAATTCGTCTCCATATAAAGAGAAAAATTTTCATAAGGCTGCTGGGAGCTCTCACTACCTCCTCATCTTTTCTGAGTTTCAATTTTCCCCTAAAGACATTTATTCTCTCCTTTACAGTTTGGTCATTATTCTCTTTGAAAAGGCAAAATAATTTCATTTGCCTTTTGTTATTTGTTTACCCTGCTTTCCAGCAGTATGATTATCTACTATTGTTTTTTCTTGCTTTGGACATAGTTTCAGGCACCCTGTGGTTATAGCTGATAATTTTTTCTGGCTTCCCCTATTGTGGGGATTTAGCTTTCTGAAATGAATTCTTATGACTTTTTTTTTTTTTACTTCTCTCTCTATCTTGCTCTTCTATATTCATTTTAGGTTATGTCCCACTTCCCATCTGCCTTAGTCCATTCGGGCTGCTATAAAAAATCCCATAAACTGGGTGTCAACAGAAATGTATTTTTTATAGTTCCAGAGGCTGAGAAGTCATGATAAAGGTACCTACAGCTTTGGTATCTGGTGAGGGTCTACTTCCTGGTTACTTTCTGTGCCCTCACCTCACATGATGGAAGAGACAAATGAGCTCCCCTGGTTCTTTTTTACAAGGGTACCAATCCCTTCATGAGAGCTCCACCTTTATGCTCTCATCACTTCCCATAGATCCAGCTTTCTAATATCATCACATTGATGATTAGTTTCAACATATGAATTTGGGAGAGATATAAGTATTCAAATCATGGCAACATCTATCAAGATTTAGTGTTTCAAGAGAATGGACAGCCAAGATAGATTTTACTAGTATCAGAGACCACAGAGAGAATTTTCTCACTAAAGACAATGGGAAATACCAAAGCTAAGGAAGAAACTATGGGAAGAAGGAAGCCAGAAAGAAGATGTGGAGTTGTATAACCAGTGAGCTGAAAGACATGGTGAAGTCAGCAACCAAGGATGTTAGAGTAAACACAATAAGGATAAAATAAATCAATTATGAGCAGGCCGGGCTTGGTGGCTCATGCCTGTAATCCTAACACTTTGGGAGGCTAAGGCAGGAAGATTGCTTGAGGCCCGGAGTTTCAGACCATCCTGGGCAACATAGCAAGACCCCTTCTCTAAAAAAAAAAAAAAACATAAAGGGCTTAATGGAGGTCAAGAAAAATTGTATTTGTTGCCTGCTTTTAAAGACTGGCTGAAGCGTGGTTGGAAAATGAATAAATCTTACATTCTTGTTCAGATTCTGACCTAGGATTCCCCTAGATTCCCTTTGGAATTCAGTGGTTTCACTTCTGGATTTCATTTATCGTCTTCTCAATATGGGCAGGGCTGTTAACAGATCAATAATTCAGCTTCATGAAAATCTAGGTTTTGTATATTTGAGTCATGAGGTTAAGTATTAACAGAAAGTTAACAATCCCTTTGAATTTCCATGTATTAGCTCTTTCACAGGTCATTGTGAGTGTATAAAGAGATGTTCTATTTAAAGAGCTCTGGTCTTTTGCTGGGAAGATGGAAGGGAATTTAATGAGCCCTTGCTGTATGTTGGTATCAGGGCAATGGTGAAAGAACTCAGCTGCAGGCTAGAAAAATCAAATATGCCCAAGTGACAAGTCATAGGGAATTACTACATGGACAGATATAATCTGACTCCTATACACCAATACAGAAGGAATTAGCATCTTAATAATAGTTAGTCCTCCAATCCATGAACATGTCCATTTACTTAGATCTTTTAACGTTTCTCTCAGTAATGTTTATATAGCTTTTGCATGTTTTTCAGTAGATTTATACCTAGGTATTTGATATTTCGATGCTATTGTAAATTATGGCTTTTAAAATTTTATTTTCTAATTATATCCAACAAATAGAAACAAATTATCCGATGACCTTCATAAACCCACCTATTAATTCTATGGATTTTTCTGTAGATTTAAAAAATTTTATGTATATTAAATTGTCAACTATATAAAGTAGAGTTTTAGCATTTTTTTAGAACTTATATTTTTTGCGGATAAATATTTTGGGAGATAATTTGCATTAAATTCAGAAAAAGGCATAGAGCATGAGGGTCCTGGAATAGCGCTGGCAATAACTAGAACTCCTAGTAAAGTGTTTCAAAACTCCTAGTAGAACTCCTAGTAAAGTGTTTTTCTCCTTGCTAAAGACCATAGGAAAATGTGGGTGGTGTATGAGAAATCATACAGTCGTCTCAGAAATGTCACTGTGTGGATATTGATGGTGGTGTTTCATAGATCAGTGGGCCTCCACCTGTGTAGTAGTACATTTGATTCAGCCAGGTTACAATAGCTAATATTTCTAAGGAGTTGTTATGTTCCAGACATAATGTGCTTTAAATTTTAATTCATATCATCAAAACAATCCAGTGAGATATAATGATTATACTTTCCATTTTACAGATGAGAAAGCATAGGCACAGGGAAGTTAAATAGCTTTCCTAGGATTACACAATAAGAGAGTGAACCATTCTTTTTTAACAAATTGAGATGCTGTTTTTCTAAAACTTGAGTTCTTAACCATTGTGTTTACTATTTCCTATTGGTCTTCTAGGTCATAGCATATTCACAAAGCTACTGCATATCCCTTAATCTACTCTGAAGTGGGTATATCCAATAAATGATCAAATAAAATTCACAATACCACTAAATGGCAAAATCCAAGGTACAGTGGGTACGTAAGACAAACCCCAGTGCTTGTCCCACTATTGATAGGCTACTTACTTTTCCTAGTTATCCTGTTACTTGGACCAACACAATGCACGTGACTTGCCTCATTGCAATAAAGACAAGGCAAACAGCATACCCAATAACGGGAATAGTCAACCAGCATGTTTAGAGAGGTAGCTTCATGAATATTCTACCATACCACCCTAGTGGTATGTCCAACATGCATGTCCAACATGCATTATGTTGGACAATGCATTTGCCAAAGTGGCAACAGCATGACCAGGTCAGATTTATTGCATTGCACAGCCCAGGAGCCACCAGTAGATGTCTTCAAACTCACATAAACCAAATATTTCTTAGAGAATAATTCACTTAACTATGAGAGCTACTTCATCACTCAGTGGCTTCCAAGATTGCCCTCTGAGTTAAATCTATTCTGCTGAATCAATCTAATCTAGCTTGTTCCACGTTATCTTATTAGAACTAACCGGTAACCCTGGAGGCCTCAAAATTAGAGGTTTGCAGCATCCTAGTTGGTGAGGTTGTCAAACATAGCAGAAGTCATGTGTGACTCTAAACATTTTGCCTGCCAAAACCTGTAGTTTTTCACTCTGGAAAGATTGTACCAATTCTAAAAGGAAGATTGTTAATTTTGTAAAAACATTAGCCATTTTTATATAGCATTAATATTTCCCACTTTCAACTATTTAGTATCTTGATGACAAGTGGTCCATGTTTTAGCTGTGAATAGTCATAGATGAACAAGCCAAAGTACCAATAGCCAGTCCACAATTTTCAAATTTGATGTACTAAATTTTTTTCTTAAAGCACAAGGTTCTTCTCATAGCCCATTAAAATGGTATATAAGACAATAGCTAGGTAATGGTCTATGAGGATTTAGAGAAGAAAGTGAAAAATAAAATTCCTCCTTTTTCTTTACAGTGTGGGAGTAAAACACCTTACCGTAAGGTGTTTATTTGCCAATAAATTGATTAACTGCAAGCTGTACATGGCTGTTTTAAACAGATATTTCAAAAGTAGACTCCAGAAAGTAAATGAGTTGAAAGAGATAATGGCAACTTACCCTGATTACACATTTTGAAAAGATTAACTTACACTGCACTGACATGCTCCACTGTTGAGAAAAAAAGGTATGATAAATGATGGCAATGAGCCTTCTACTATCATGTATATATATATGATATGATATATATGATAGTATTATATGTAATATATAAGAATTATATATTATATATTATAATATATAATTATAATATAGATAATATAAGAAATATATATTACACACAATATATAAGAATTATATATAATATATGTAATATTTATATCACATAGGAGCAATTACTGTAAAAAGAAACAGCTGTGAGCATTACCCCTTTTCTACCTACAAAAACAAAAAAGCAAAAGGAAAAAGGTGACTGATATAGTTTGGCTGCATCCCTACCCAAATCTCATCTTGAATTGTCATTTCCATAATCCCCATGTGTCGTGGGAAAGACCTGATGAGAGGTAATTTAATCACAGTGGTGGTTCCCCTCATGTTGTTTTCCTAATAGTGAGTGAGTTCTCATGAGATCTGATGGTTTTATAAGGAGCTTTTCCCTCTTGTGCTTGGCAGTTCTTGCTATGGCCATGTGAAGAAGGAAGTGTTTGCTTTACCTTCCACCATGACTGTAAGTTTCCTGAGGCCTCCCCAGTCATGCTGAACTGTGAGTCAATTAAACCTTTTTCCTTTATAAACTACCCACTCTTGGGTATGTCTTTATTAGCAGTGTGAGAATAGACTAATACAGTGACTATTTACTTTGAAATAGTGTAGTTGTCTGACAGGTTTTTCCTGCCCACTGCGCAGACAAAACCAATTTACTGAGACCATGGTCTTGCAGTAAAGAAAGAGTTTGATTAACACTAGGCTAACCACAGAGAAGATGGGGGAGTTATTATTCAAATCAGTCTCTCCAAGAAGTCTGAAGATAGAGTTTTAATGGATAATTTGGTGGGCAGGGGCTAGAGAATGGGTACTGCTGATTGGTTGGGGATAAAATCATAGAGGTTCTCATGCACTAAGTCTGCCTCTGGGTGGGGGCCACAGGACCAGTTCAGTCATGAGTCATGGATTCAGGTGGGATTGGTCAGTTGCCAGAATGCAAAAAAGCATGAAAAACTTATCAAAAGACCAATCTTAGGTTCTACAATAGTGATGATATCTATAGGAGCAATTGGCGAAGTCATAAATCTTGTGACCCCTGGTCACGTGACTCCTAAGCAGTAAGGGATTAAAGAAATTATGCCTCCATTTTAGCAGAGTTCCAATTCCTCCCATAATCCTAATCTCATGGCCTTTCATAAATTTTCAGTCCCTGAGAAAAAAGAATGTTAGTTTTATGGAAGCAGTGCTGTCATTCATGCTTCAAAAGTAAACCACAAAATAAGTTCCTCCATGGGCTTGGCCCATACCAGGAATGCATCAGGATAGCCAGCCTATGAGGCTAGATGCAAGATGAAGTCAGCCATGCTAGATTCTCCTCACTGTCATAATCTGCAAAGGTGGTTTTAATCACTAATAGAGATAGAACATCAGCCTAGATTGACAGGGTTGGGCTACATCCAGGACACATTGCTTCCCCCAAGTGCTAGTTCTGGGAGAACATGGTACACTTGTTTAGCATCAGGAAATTGTGATTTAAATTATTGCCTCTTCTTTCTCCTGGAAAGTGGCAATTAATGCAAAGTGAGAAGTGGTATGCTCTACTGCAAATTAAAGGAACAGAAAATTTGAGGATAGTAGAGGGGGAAAAATCTCTGGTTCTTAAGTTAGAAGGGAGGAGACAGGTATGGGAGTTGAGAAAGCACTTGAGTCAGGAAGGGAAGAGAAGAAGAAATTAGTTTTTGTTGTGGTTTTTCCTTTGCATTTGCAATGTTTTAGTAGTGGGCCTATGACTCACTGTGTTAAAGACCATTCATATGTATTCTCAATTAATATCAAGACAGCTTTGAGGGTCACACATTAATATTCCTATTTTACAAATCAGTAAACAGATGTTTGGTGATGTTAAACTCCTTGCTGGAGATAAACAATTAGTTGATGAAGGAGTCAGAACCCAACCTATGTCTCTCTGGCTCCAAGTGCAGACTGCTTCCATTAAGTATATTTGTTGCAGGAAGTAGAAAGGATCACTTCACTGCCTAAGTCTTGGTTTCCTCATCTATACAGTTGGGTAATAAGATGGATCTGATTGTGTTGTGAGAAGTATTTTGGAATGGTCCATGGGAAAGACTCAGGACAGGGCATATCACAAAGCTTAGTGCATGACAGTTGAAAGTTTGCAGTGATTGATTGCAGCAGAAGATTGTGGTTAAACCTGTGGCAGGTGCTTTGTCAGGAAGTAAGACACCTTCTGGAGCATTGCATCTTCTCTTTGTCAGAACCACAGACAGTAACCCTGTTTGCAGGCAGTCATCTTGAAACCATGTTCGGAATTACTCCGAAGAGGAAGAATACGAGATAATATGAATGAAATAGAGGAAACCCATCCCACTACTGGAAAACCAGTTTAAACCACTTCCTGATTTGGCTCAGTGCTGTCACTCTAGAGGAAGGATTTTAGTGGAGCACGTATTCTAAAACCGGATTATTTATAGCTACTACTCAGCACCACCTACTGGTAAGCTGACAGAAAACAGAACTCAAACTATGCAAGGCTAAAAAAAATTGAGCACATTAGTATGAAAAAGTCAAATTGCAGTAGGGAAATGGTTACAAGAGACACTGTGCATCAACATAATAGAACAACACATAGACCCTATAAGATAGAATCCACAGAAACATGGAGTTTGAAATAGTGAATATTAAGTTAGATTACAATATTATAAACAAATATGCCAAACATGTTTTCATGGAATTAAGAAGGGAGAGAAAGAAAAAATACACCCATATTGATGAATTTAATTTTTTTCTTTCAAATTTGCTATTTTGTACATTAGTCACAAGCGTATTCTTCAAAAATAATCTGTAATAGAGGACAATTGTACTGAAATGTATTCAATAGATAAATAGACAAAAATAGAAGTGATCATATATCTTATGTACATTACATTATTTTTTCTCTCCAACTTTCTATAACCTTATTTTTTAAAAGTAGAGACTTGTTTAGATTAAAAAGCTAAAATATGCATACAGTAAACAACAAATCCAAACTTTACTGAAGTTATGTAATAGTATGTCTCCCTGAGCCCTAGGATCTAAATCTAACGTGCAGAAATTTATCAGGCTTAGAAGTTCTTGCTGATACTTCTAAAATGTTTCTATGAATATACAAACGTGTGTGTGCATGCAAGCAAGCACGTGTTTGTGTGTGTAATATATCAGTTTTTTTCTCTCACATGTGGGACCATATTAAACAGGTTGTTGTGTATTTGTCATTTTGCTGAAAATTGTGTATTAAAAAGGCTGTCTTGTAGCTGTGTCTTGTTCAGGTGTCTCTAAGACTTCCGTAAGGCCATTGAAGCATTTCAACCTTATATAAAAGGTTGGCTAGTACAAAAAGATGATGAATTTAGGCAACGGAGCTATATTTAATAAATGCCATTTTTAGGATTCATGTCGAAAGAATTGGCGAGTTCTTTAAATTTGGTTTTGTTTTTATCAAAGAAATACTTGCATGGAGTATCACTGATCAAATAGTTCTGCAAGGCTCATAGCCAAAATAAGTAGTCCTTTTACTGTACTTTGCGAGTCATACAAACTCCCATTCCTCAGAGGAGGTAATTTTTATCATTTTTAAAACTTTTCTAGATTACATACTTTCTTATTTCTATGTAGGATGCTTGTGGGCAAATTTTACATTTAGTGAATTTTATGGAATATCTGTTTCTTTTCTACTGTGCAAAATGAAGACTCGTGAAGCATCTTTCAGCCCTCTTTCCAAACACACAGGCACATATTCTCTAATACAATCAATAAAGTTACATCAAATATGGCTTGATCAATATTCAGTGTGTGGACCCATTTGATCGTATATATATTATCTGCAGATGGGACTTTTTATGACTTGAGAAAATCTGGATTTACACTATGTTATGTAGAAAAGAGTATTTTATTTCTTGCTTTCCTGGAGTTAATAATTACCTCTTTTTAACCTTTGCTTAGGTTTCTATCTACCTATTAGTAATTTCTTTCTAAATTCTCAAACATTTGAAAATCTTCTCTCTATATATTCAAACACATCAGTTCCTTCCTTCCTCTTTTTTCCCTTCCTTCCTTCTTTCTTTCTTCCCTCCCTCCCTCCCTCTCTTCCTTCCTTCCTGCTTTCATTTCTTCCTTGATTTCTTTTTTCTTTTCCTTCCTTCCTTCCTTCCTTCCTTCCTTCCTTCCTTTCTTTCTTTCTTTCTTTCTTTCTTTCTTTCTTTCTTTCTTTCTTTCTTTCTTTTTCTTTCTTTCTCTCTCTCCTTCCTTTCTTCCTTCCTTCCTCCTTTCCTTTCCTTTTCTTTCCTTTCTCTTTATTTTTTCTCCTTCACTCCTCCCTTCCTTCCTTCCTCCCTCCCTCCCGCCTTTCCTTCTCTCCTCTCCTTCCCTCTCCCTTTCCCTTCGCTGCCCCTCCCCTCCCTTCCACTCCCCTCCCCTCCTCTCCCTTCCCCTCCCATCCTGTCCTCTCCTCAGCTTTGTTCTCTTCTCTCCTGTTGCCCTACTCTAATTTGAATGGGCCTGTGGCACAACTGTCATTCTGCAAACGTTCTACAGATTTTCCCTTGCTAGAGCACCTGGATTCTGTGTCTTACACTTTTTTGACTTATGCTTTCATTTGGGGAATAAATTGTTTAGGAACTTCCAAAGAAAACGTGCTTGAGTGTTTTTGTTTTTGTTTGAAATTTGATAACCTGGCTGAAAGGAACTTCTAGATCATAAATCATTTTTCTCAAAACTTTGAAAGCAATGTACTCTTGTTTTCTAGTTTCTAGTGTTTTCATTTTTACTTGTTTTTGTTTTGTTTAGAGATTTCTGAAGCACTTTTGACTTCTTACCTTGTGCATGTGACCTCCTATTTCCTCTTGAAGTGCTTAGGATCTTCTTTTTGTATTCAAGGTTCAGAACTTTCGTATTTATGTGTCTCAGTGTGGTTCACTCTTTATTCTTTTTTGCAAACAATATGGTGGGTCTTTTCTTGAAATATTTCTCCAACAATTGTACTTATTCAATTTTGTTTATCTTTTCTCTTTCTAGAATTCTCTTCTTTTTATATTAGATCGCCTGAACCAACTTTAGAATTTTCTTCTCTCCTTGCAGTTTCTTCTTTTCTTTCTTCTTTCCTTTCTTGCTTTTTGTTTTTGTTTTTATTTTTTTCTTTTGAGACAGAGTCTTGCTCTGCCACCCAGGCTGGAGCGTAATGGCATAATCACTACACTATTTGTAAACCTGAACTCCTGGGTTCAAGCAATTCTTCTGCCTCAGCCTCCTGAGTAGCTCGGACTACAGGCACACACTACCGTGCCTGACTAATTATTTAAAATTTGTTTGTGGTCTCACTGTGTTGCCCAAGCTGGTCTCAAACTCCTAGCCTTAAGCAATCCTCCTGCCTCAGCCTCCCAAATCTCTGGGATTACTAACATGGGCCACAGTGTCTAGCTTCTTTCTTCTTTCTTTTACTTTTTTTCTCTTTATTTTCTTCCTTCCTCCCTCCCTCCCTCCTTTCTCTCTCTTTCTTTCTTTTTTTCTTCCTTTCCTTTCCTTTCCTCTCCTTTCCTTTGCTTTCCTTTCTCTTCCTTTCCTTTCTTTTTTGTATTTTGGGTCTTTTTTTGAGATTTGGTCAATTTTCTAAAATTTCTACTGAATTTTTATTTTCCTTTGGCATGTTTGTATTTTATTTCAAGAGCACTCCTTTGTTTTCTAAATGTTCTCTTTTGTGTAATCATCGCTTCTTTCATGGAAGCAGCAACCTCAATTATTTCTCTGAGCATAACATGGCTGGGTTATTTTTCCCCTGCTAATTGTATTCAGCCTTCCACACTGTCTCTATTTTCCAAGTTTCTTTGCGATTTTTCCTATCTTTTTTTTTTTATTTTGATCTCTGTTATCTTAGGGACTTTTCTCAAATGTGTGGTAATCCATGACTTTAGTAGTGAGCCACTAAACTTGATTAAAGGGGGGTATATGTGTAAGAGAGAGAGGAAAATATGTTTGTTGAGATTCATTATGGGTAGGTTTGTTTGTGCAGCTTATTTAGGAATTTCTGTCAGTATCTGTGGATCTCTCCTCTTAAAATTGTTTTCCCAGAGAATAAACCTGTAGTATTCTCTGGGGCAAACAGAGAGGGATAGTTCTCATACTTTAGGGTACAGAAACAAATTTTATCTTTACCTTCACCGTCTGCTGTATCTGATGTTTCTAAACCCAGAGCCCTTCTGTTCTATCTCTTCAGTAATTAAACTTACAGTCCTATAAAGTGGTGGGGGTCTAGCTGTTCTTTAGAAAGACTTGACTTTATTAATTCATTTCTTCAACAAATATTTACCAAGTGCTTACAATATGCCAAACACTATTTTAGACACAATGGAAATGTCTGTTTTCAAAACAAAATACTTTGCTCTTGTGATTTTCATCCCCAAGGGAACCCTGACTTTCAGAACTCGCCAGTGTCTGCAAATTCTAAACTTTGTGTTCTGTAATGTGAATTGGCTTGCTTTATTTATTTATTTTTTGCTTCTTTGCATATTCTGTTTTCATTTTTCTATTTGGTTTGTTCAATGAGAAACCATTTGCTCATTTGCTTTTCAGGTCTAAAATTGGGTCGCTGTCATCTCCTATTCAATTCTTTTGTCTTTTGGGTTTATTTCACACGTTTTTGGTCATTTCATGGGATTTAGGGAGGATATAGAGGTAAATGTGTATGTTCAATCTGCCACCTTTGTTAGAAGCACCTGTGAGTAATTTAGCCCAAATAAGCCCCAGCATCCTAATTCCTTTGTACCTGTGATGTGCTTGGGTAGCCCAGTATGTCAACACAATTGGGAATCTGGACTGTCCTGTATTAAAAGCCATTTCTGTTACAGGCTGACCCTGTCTGAAAAGGTCTTCTGGCATCAGAATATGCACCTAGTCTGTGCTACTCTTCTTGCAGTTACTATGTCCTCTGACAGAACTGCTATTCCTTTTCTGGCCAGACCTCAAAGGACCCAGATTTCTGAGAATATGTGACTATTAGTATAATACTTACCTCCAACCCTACCCCAGCATCACTATGTATCAGCCCAACACCAGCATCATATATTACCTGAATGTAAGATAATCTGTATAGCCTCAGTAAGTCTTTTGGCTAAGCCCCCTCACAATTTTTTTCCTCTTTTGGTCTTTGGAAGTTTCAATAGGAGGCAGCATATAAGTTTGTATTTTTATCACTATTCTGTGCATCTGTGGTTTTGGGGGAAGAAATAGTCACTTGTCTAGAAGAGAAAGGGCATTATTTGTTCTCATCTGGAATGAGAAAATTCCTCTTGAGCAGTTTACCAGGGTTGCAAGCAAAAGAGGACAAACATATTCTACCACTCCCTGGAAACTTTTCATGGTGGTAGAATTTGTGGAGCTGAGTGACACAGGCTCTCTATTGTAACTCACCAAACTCAAGATGCTGTGACTAAAACTCATGCTACTCCTCAGTGGTTGGCATGTCTTAGTTCAATGTCAATTTTGTTCTAAGAGATCAAAACCATACATTCTTACATGAAATCCTTACCATCAGAGTATTGTTTAATGTCTTCTCATTTTATGATAAGCTTTTATTCTTCAGTATTAAATTGGTCTATATAATCATTTCAGGTCAGATATTTGAGCAACATCATTACAGAGAAACTTTGATTTTCCACAATTTTCAAAATAGAGCCTGGTTCCAGAGCTCACAGAGAATGAGGGTTCCTAGGAGTTCAGCCCTGAGTTGCTAATTTCTATTTTGACATTAAACCTGGGAAATGCTTTTTAGACTGTCTTGAGAAGATTTCGAGGAAGGAGAAGAAAGAGAATTCAATCTTTTATTAAGCCGTTAAGCTGGTTTGTGAATTCTAAACATGTGGTAGGAAAGGAATGAAGAAAGTTAGTGCTTCTGACCTTCTTATCCCTAAAAATAGTTATTATGTGAATAAAAAGTTTACCATCCTGAAAATAAATATTTCAAAGGGAAGAAAATGTCAGAAGATTTCGAGACTATGAAAATTAGTTATGTGAATACTAACATTAGAACTCTTAACATTGGCATAGCACAACATTACCTGACCAACTCTTTGGCATCTCTTTAGATTTCTATCACACTGTATTGTAAATTGTCTGCCCCATAGACTTTATTCTCAGTAAAGTAATAAACCCTCGTGTATACTTCCTTGAAAATGTCATGCTACCTAGAACATATTTAAAGTATAGTAAATATTCATGACTATTTACAAAATGACTGCTTAATTATTTTTACCAAAGATAAATAATGAAGACATCTGCTGTGAAAGGCACAAGGAAATGTTGAAATGAACATATTAATTAATTATTTATTTAGGATGTACTTGTTGAATGCCCACCGTGTGTCATGTATTTTGATAAGCTCCTAAGAGTATTTAGTTAGGGAGATAGAGGTGGCAATGCATTCGCCAGATTACAATCGATTGGTGAAGACAAATGATTAAATAAATAAACACAAAAGTGGGTTAAATGCTATAGTGGCAGAATTATAAACAATTTAGATGGCATTTTGACTGGGACTTCTAATCCAGATGTGGGGAAAGAGTCCCAGGTAAAGCTGCTACCTTGAATGATGAATACGAGCTGTCCACAACTTCTAGTTCCAGTATTGTTAAAGGAGCTAGTATTAGATCTAACTGATTATCTAAGCAACTATAAAACTAGACCAATTATGTGAAGCAAATATTTATAGCTATTGGATAGCAGCCATTGTAAGGCTGAAATCCTCTTGGGAGTGTAGGGGAAGCGTTCTATTTGTCATGGCTTTCTGCCTGGGGCAATGTCCGATGCTTGAAAGTAGGAAGAACTCTCACTGGGTAGAGTAAAACAAGAGTTTGGTGTTTGGGGGCTGCTAACATGGTTGGAATTTGTGGAGCGTGTTGGCAGGCGGAAGGTAGCCATAGGCCTCACTATCTATAAATCTGAAGAGGAGTTATCCTCTGATTCTTGGGGTGCAAAGTGAAATTCCATTAAGGCATAATAGCAGGATGAAGGGCCGACAGCTCAGCAGAGATTTCTCAGCAGACATTTCCACAAAGATCATGCCCGAAAAGTTGTGTAGATGACAAAGTTTTGACTCAACTAGAGTCCAGACTCCTCAGTAGCTAAGCCAGGCATTCAGTTGAAACCCTCAAACAGGCATGCATTTAAAGTAAAGATCTAATGCTGACTACTTTATGCTATCTTTGGCAAGTTCTTTACTCTAGAACTAAGGGCAAAACTGAAATAAACTCATCCTTAAAAAGACAAAAAACAAGGCTGAAGAAAATAAAACAATCCACCTGTAATCAAATGCCTCCAAAGCAAAAAGATAGCATAATCCACAGTCTATAATATATCATCCATAATGTCCAGCATACAATAACAGAAAGTACTAGACAAGCAAAAAGGTAGGAAAGCATTGCCCATTTTCAAGAAATAAAAGAGCTTATAGAAGCCAAGCCACAATTGAACTAGATGTTTTAATTATTGAACGATGATTCTAAATACCTATTAGAAACCTGTACATGAACTTGGAGATGAACAGCTAAGCAACTGGATGGGAAAGATGTCAGCAGAAATAGGAAGCTACCCCTAAAAAGAATATTTTTAAAAAGAAAATGCCAATCTTATATATTTCAGAAAATAGAAGAGAAGATATATTCACATTTACTTCATAAACCAGTACAATCTTGACAAAGGTGTTAAAAGGAAAAAAAAAATATGCATCTGATATGGTTTGCCTCTGTGTCCCTACTCAAATCTCATCTAGAATTGTACTCCCCATGTGTTGAGGTAGGGACCTGGTAGGAGGTGATTCAGTCATGAGGGCAGTTTCCCCCATGCTATTCTCCTGATAGTAGGGAAGTTCTCATGAGATCTGGTTGTTTGATAAGTGTCTGGGATTTCCCCTTATGGCACACTCTCTCCTGCTACCGTGTAAGAGGGTGCCTGTTTCTCCTTTGCCTTCTGCCATGATCGTAAGTTTCCTGAGGCTTCTCCAGCCATGCAGAACTGTGAGTCAATTAAACCTCTTTTGTTGATAAATGACTCAGTTTCAGTCAGTGTGAAAACTGACTAATGCATCATCATTCCAAAATTCCTTTATCAATATTAGCAAATTAAATTTATCAATATACTTGAAATCATGATTAAATGAGTTTTATCCTAAGAGAGAAAGACTAGGTTAACATTCATAAATCAATCATCACCATCTATCAATACACATAATAAAGAAGAAAACACAATCGTCTCAATTAAGAAAAGTTATTCAATTAAAATTCAAAATCAATTAGCTATAGAAATGATATTAGCAAACTAGAAATAGAAAGAAACTTCCTTAAAATGACAAAGGCATTTATGGAAAACCTATAGGGAATACAGGTAATAGTATATTTAATGATGACAAAACAGATGACAAAAACTTTCCCTCCTATATTTGGGAAGAAAAAAGTTCCAATTTTACCATCAATGTTTTAAAAATACTGTTCTGCAGGTCCTAGCTAGTACTAGGAAAAGTAATAGGAAAAGAGGAAAAAAGAAAGAAAGAATGAATGAAAGACGAAAGAAAGAGCATATATAAATAAAAGGAAAAATAAAACTATATTCCTATAATGACATAATTGTGTGTATCAAAAGTGTAAATCAATGCCGTCTATAAAGAAACTGCTAGAAAGGATAAATTAACTTGGCAATATTGCTGGATATAAAGGATATAAAGTAAATGTAAAAACATCAATGCATGTCCATAGAATAGTCCCCCAAAAACAAACAAAATCTGGAAACCCAAATTTAGAAAATTATTATTTATAATAGTTTCAAAAATTAAAAATGCAGGAAGATATTAACAAATATGTAAAAACTCCATACAACAAAGTATAAAAACTTGTTTGATAGTTTGAAATTAAAGATGTTCAAAAAACCCCAGAAAAATGTTAATTTAAAGATTGGCAAACTTGATTTTATTGAGATGTCATTTCTCCTAAATTTATCTATAATTTCAAGACAATTCCAACAAAAATTACAGCAGAATTTTCTGTGGAAATTGACATGTAGATTGAAGAAACTTATTTAAAAATGAAAACTTCATTATGTGGCTCTTGACTAGCCAACACAATCTTGAAGGAGAAACACAAAATTGGAGGATTTTAGTACCAGATTTTGGTACATATTGTAAAACTAGAATAAGTAAGACATGATGCTGGTGGAGTTAGGATAAAAAAAAATACCAATAGCACAAAATAGATATTCTAGGCCTAGATCTCCACACATGTAATCGGCTGATTTTTGTCAAACTTAATCTGAGAAAGGAGATTATTTTCAGTAACTAATAGTGGAACAACTAGATAATTATATGGAAAAACTTGAAGTTTTCTTATATCACACACAAAACAGTAATTTGAGATGGTTCACAGGCCTAAATGTAAAAGTTAAATCTATAAATATTCTATAATAAAATATGTTCATAAGTTTTGGGTTGGAAAACATTTCTTAGGTGAGATCAAGCGTCACTAATAATAAACAGAAACATTTAATCGGACTTAGCTAAAATGTAAATATTTTGCTTATCAAAAAACAATATTGCAAAAGTGAAAGTCAAGCCACAGATTTGGAAAAGGTATTTTTAAAACATGTATCTGACTCTTAGCTTTTATTAAGGTTATATGAAGAACACCTGTAACTTAATTATGAAAAGAAAAACAACACAATTAAAACATGGACGAAAGAGTCTAACATTTTACCAAATCTTTATATAAGAATTCCCACAGCACATATGAAAAGTTGTTTGGTGCCACTGAATCACTGGAAAAATGCAAACTGAAACCACAGTGTGATGCGACAACACCCTCATTTGAATGCTTGAAATGAAAAATACTAAAATATCAAATATTGGTGAGGATATGGAACAACTAGAACCCCGTGTATTATTGGTGTCCATGTAAAATAGAATAACTGTTATGGAAACCAGCAGTTTCTTAAAAGTTAAATATCCCAAACGAGAGAGCTGGAGATGAGATTGGAAGAAGCCACAAGTAGAAGGAAAAGTTGGAGGTCACAGTAGGACCGAAGATCCTCTTGCACCCCAGCCTACATTATTCTCTGTTAGAATGGATGCAGGTCCCTGTCGTCTTTGCATATCTGCAGTAGCTTTTTGGTGAGGTATAGGATTCTGTCTTTTAACAGGCTTCTGACATTTTCTCTTAAGCCTTGCTTACTCCCTCCACCAAGTGGAAAATAGATGTACTGTCTTCTTCTCAGTTTCTGCCGTGTCCAGCAAACTTGTCTTGCTTGAATAAAGAAAGGATGAAGCTACTTTATTGAACAGGGAGGTCTCACATCATTGGCAAACTGACAAATGAGGCTGTTTTCTTCATGCACTGAGAAGGGGAGGCTTTTGGGACCCCTTGCAGAAAACACAACCATGTACACATGTACTTTTTGGAAACTTTGTCTCTTCAAACTAGTTTGTTCTTAGTTGTATGAGAGAAAGTGATGTCTTGCCTCAGTTGTAAATGATTATTGTGCTGTTAGTAATTTAGAAAATCCTCTTTATAAATTATGCAACCTTTAGATTTTAATAAAATCATTTGAGGATTCATCAGTTTAAATCTTATGCCCACCCCCTTCTATACTCTTTACAGGATGTTCCTGCAAGGTTCTTTACTCCTTTTTGTGTGTGGCCTCATAAATAAGTTAAAGAAAAAGAACAATTGTCTAATGACTGATTGTCTGATTGCTACATTGCCAAACTTTTTCTGGCTGTGTTCCAGGTATAAGTTAAGAATCTGCTATGGTGTTTTTAGAAGATTAACTTTAAAATAGATTCTTCATTAAAATGCACAGTATTGATTTTTAAATTTGATTATCTAAATGGGAAAAAAATCCTAGGATAAGAATACAGTGACTGTTCATGCCAATCAAACTTATTTTTAGTACAGAAGAGCACCAGAACTAATGACAAGCATCATTAGGTATTGAGGCGTCACAGAAACTGAAATTCTTCATACATATAAAATAAAAGTCTTCACAATACAGCGAATAATATGACATCTTACACAGAAAATAACACTTGCAAATTGTAATGAAGATTCCTGAAATGTAAAATAAGTGCCTGTATGCATAAGATCTTGGCTAACTATGAGCCATGAGGAGATATTAAAATAAGAAAATTCTCATATACTTGGCAAGTTTTTGTTAGTCAATGTATCAATCATTGTGACAATCTTTTTCACCAGCCAAATTCTTCTTATTTCTATCCCCTTCATTATCCTTGGTGGAGAATCTAATGAGCAGTGAAATGTCCAAAATATAGGAATCTGGAAGAAGTGAAGATCCTTAATAAGTCAGCATGAGAAAGTCAGTTCCTGCTAATGTTTCCTGAAACAAACCAAAGGAGTCAATCATCAGGTATACAAAGATGCCATATTCATCACAATTACTTACAAAAATTCACTATAATTTAATGTACAACTCTTTTTTTAGAAATAGCCCTTGAGTAAATAATAATCACTTAACCTGAAGCTAAATTGACCTTAAGATAAATCATTAGACAATTTCCAAGAAACTTGGCAAATAGCATTTGCATTATTACTGCTATTAGAGTATGGGAGATTTGGATAATTTATAAACAAATAAACCAAACAGCTGGATGATGCAGAATTCATCAGGCTGAAAACCACCTCTGGGGATTTAAGAACAGACCCCTTGCCATTAGTCTTAGGCAGTGTCACAGCTCTTCTGATGCAGACGTAAAATCTTTTATTGTTACTTTAAAACCCCAAGTGTAATAACAACATAGATTTTCTCCCCAGCTGAGTCCAACTTCCACACTGACAATTCATATAACTAAAAGGAGCAGGAGGGGACATTCCTTACACTGTCTTGTAAATGAACACCTCTTTCTTTTGTTGGGCCCTGACGAGAAAACTCATTGTTCTATGCCATATATTCCAATTGCTAAAGCATATGTTACACGTATCAGATAGGGGATCCGATAACCCTAACCTTTTCTCAATATGCACTTCTACTTGCAAACCTTTTCACTGGTCCTAACCAAATTGTTTCCAGCCTTCAAGGGAAATGTTCTAAAGAAAATCTCTAGGAAAATAGAAAGATTAAAAATACAGCAAAGTCATTACACAAATGTAAGATCATTCAAAGCTATCCTGAATGAACAAGGTAAGGTGTAAAAATGGAAGAAAGAAGTTGTAGCACAACTTTTCTAGCACATCTCAGATTATTTCAAATTCTTTTTCAGTGAGACCACTGTATGATTATTAACAAAGCCACAAATAATGTTCAACCATGCACCCTCTTTTACTAAACCACAAAAGGCTTCAATTTTTTTATTTCATGCTTATACTTTCATTTATTCATGTTTAGAGTCATATGTAACCTAAAGATGCAATTACCATTTTTAAGGGCATTCCTGCTTTAAAATACAGCAAAGGGCCTGTCTTAAAGGCACTGGGGACTCTCCTACAAAATGCCTCCTAGCCTGCTGGTTTACTCCACATTCAGGAAATACAACATTTCAAAATACTTAGGGACATAATTTTGTGGAGCAAATTTAAATTCCATCCAGTAAAATTAGAAAATGAACAGAAGTTCTGGGCAGTTTAAAATGACATGGTGCATACCTTATTAAATTTTAAAGAATAGAGTATAAATTGTACGAAGTATGTTCTTGGACCGTAATGGAATTAAATAAGAAATCACAGTAATGTAGTTAGAAAATCCTAAAATATTTAGAGATCAAACAACACACTTCTAAGTAACACATGGGCCTAAGAAAAAGTCTCAAAAGAAATTTTAACATATTTTGAATTAAATGAAAATGAAAACATAAGGTATCAAAATTTGTGAGCAGTAGCAGTGATTACAGGGAAATTTATGTATTTAATGCATTCATTAGAAAAAAATAAAGACCTAACATTAAAAATGTAAGTTTCAACCTTAGGAAACTAAAAAAAGAAGAGAAAATTATATTCCAAAAAAAAAATAATAAAAGAGCAGAAATTGATAAATTAAAAGCAAGAAGTTTATAGTGAAAAACAAGGAAACCAAAAGCTGGTTCTTTGAAAATATCAGTAAAATTGTGAAACTTTTCATTATGCTAACCAAGAACAAAAAGTGAAAAGTCATAAATTACTAATATTAGAAATGAAAAACGTCACACCACTACTGATCCCACAGACATGAAGAAAGTGATAAAGGAATATTATGAAGAATTCTATTCCCATAGATCTATAACTTAGATGAAATAGAATGATTCCTTGAAAGCAAAAATCTTCCAAAACTCAAGCAAGGAGAAATACATAATTTGGCCTGTATGTATTAAATGTATTGAATCAACAATTACAAACATTTCAAAATAGAAGTCACCAGATGCAGATGGTTTCACTAGTGAATGCTACTAGACATTTCAAGAAGAAAATAGTATCAATTCTGTCCAATCTTTTCCAGAAATAGAAGCAGAGGAAGCAGTAACTCATTCTATGAGGCCAGCATTACACAAATATGAAAACTAAACAAAGACATTGAAAGAAGAAAACTATAGAACACTATCAGTCATGAACACAGATCCAAAATTCCTCAACAAAATATCAGCAAATGGACTCCAACACTGTATAAAAATAATTATATACCATGACCAAGTACAATTTGTTCAAGGTATGTATGCAAGGCTGGGTTAATATGAATGATCAATTAATGTAGTTGATCATATCAACTGGCTAAAGAATACATATCATATGATTATATAAATAAATGTGATGCAGAGAAAGCACTTGACAAAATCCAACACTACATACATGATGAGAAATTTTCAGCCAATTAGAAAGAGAGAGGGACTTTTTTTATCTTAGTAAATAATATCTACAAAAACTCTAAGCTAACATCATTAATGAGGAGAAGCTAAATGCTTTCCTCCTAAGTTTGGGAGCAAGACAAGGGTATCTCTTCTTTGATTCCTATTCAACAGTGTGCTGGGAGTTCTAGTTAATGTAATAAGATAAAAAATGGAAATAAAATCTATACAGATTATGAAGAAACAAGTAAAACTGTCTTTGTTTGCAAATGATATAATTGTCTGTAAAAAACATTCCAAAATTCTAGAAGAAAAAACCTTCTGGAGCTAATATTAATTGATTATATCAAGGTTGGAAGATACAAGGTTGATCTAAAAAGTCAGTTGCCTTGGAATGCACCAGCAATGAAACACTAGAATTTGAAATCAGAAACATAATGCCATTTACTGTAGCACCAACACATGAAATATAGTCCTCCCTTGGTATCTGTGGGGATTGGTTCCAGGATTCCCCGATCAAATTAAATATACATATATTTTATCTGCAGTTGGTTGAATGCATGGATGCAGAAGGCTTAACTGTACTTAGATATAAATCTAACCAAGTAAAATGAAGTGTTTTTCAAAAATAAAAAGTAATGAGCTTTTCAGCCAAAAAATAACATGAAGAGAACATAAATGCATATTGCTAAGTGAAAGAAGCCAGACTGATAAGGTTGCATATTGTATGATTACAACTATATGACATTCTGGAAAAGGCAAAATTATGGAGGCATGAAAAATTGGTGTTGCAAGGGGGTGGGGAAGAAGAGATGAATAGGTGGAGCACAGTAGATCATTAGGGCACTGAATATTGTGTATGATACTGTAATGCTGGATACATGACCCTAAGTGTTTGTCAAACCCGTAAAGCTATACAAAACAAAGAATGAGCCCTAGTGTGAATATTGGAGATTAGTTAATAATAATGTATTGAGGGAGAAAAAGAATTTGTAGGAATGCAAGAACGGAGGAATGCAAGTCCTTTAATTATTAGGCCCAGAGAGACATTAAAATGAGACCACAATCACACTCTACTCTCCCCTTTGAGCTACCTGTTTCTCTCTTGAAACTGCTTGCTGTTGCCGCAAGTAGCTGTAAATTAACCTAATAATGCCACACTGGACACTATAACCTATATCCTGTAGCTTACAAATGTAAAGCCAGTCTCTAATCAATGTTATTCTGTAAACCGATGAGAATTTCTGACAACTTTTTATCAGCCCATTCCTGGTCCCCGTTTTTTGCCTTTAAAAATCTGCTTCTTGCTAATTGGAGTGTATGACCCAAAGAAACTCTCTACTTTCACTTATTTATTTATCTATTTATTATTTATTTATTTAGACAGAGTCTCGCTCTGTCATCCAGGCAGGCTAGAGTGCAGAGGTGCGATCTCGGCTCACTGCAACCTCCGCCTTCCAGGTTCAAGTGATTTTCCTGCCTCAGTCTCCCAAGTACCTGGGATTACAGGTGCATGCCACCATGCCTGGCTAATTTTTGTATTTTTAGTAGTGATGTGGTTTCACCATGTTGGCCAGGCTGGTGTCCAACTCCTGACCTCAGGTGATCCGCCCACCTCTGCCTCCCAAGGTGCTGGGATTACAGGCATGAGCCACCCACTGCTCCCAGCCTATACACTCTCTAATTTTGCCTCAGATTCTTCCTTTTAGGTCAACAGTATCAATAGTGGTTCAACAATGGTGCCAAGGGTACCACACCAATGCAAGAAGTTAATAATACTGGAAACAATGTGGGAGGGGCAAGTAATGTAACCTGACAATGGATTCATTTTGCCTGCTGCCCAGATGGAGCTGATTTATTAAGACAGGGGAATCACAATAGAGAAAGAGCTTAATTCATGCAGAGCTGGCTGAAGAGGAGATCAGAGTTTTAATATTACTGAAATCAGTCTCTCACAAAATTTGGAGGCTATGGTTTTTCAAGGATAGTTTGGGGGAAGAGGTGGCATGCTGAGGAGGTTGAGGGGCTGGGGGAGTGAGGGAGGTGAAGGGATGAGTAGACAGTGCGTGCTTGCTGCTGACTGGTTGAGGATGCAGTACAGGTGTGGGAAATGCTTTTCATGTGCACTGACTCACTTCTGGGTAAAGGTACAGAAGGAATTGGCAGGTACAGTTGGAGCCATTGGGTGTCAGACATGCAGAACAACCTGAAAAGACATGTCAAAATACCAATCATAGGTTCTAGAATAGTGCTGTTATCTGTAGGAGTAATTGGGGAAGTTACATATCTTGTGACCTCTGGAATAATAGCGGGTAATCATTTATGTCTACACCTTAGTAGAATTCAGGGAAAAAGGAAATCATAGGACACCAGATCAGGCTTGGATATTAGGAGTCTGAGTACATCACAGAAGTAATTGGACTTACCCCAAAACAAAACAACAAAAACTAAAAGAGTTTTTTAAAATAGCATTCAAAAATTAAGAATGAAGAAGAATCCAAAATTCAGAGCAAAAAGAAAGGAACAATATATGGCAAGATATAAGACTGTGGATAAAACACTAGATGTAGTCACTATCTTATTTTTATTTTAGTCATTTTAGCAGGTAGGCAGTGAGAAGTTTCTCACTGTGATTTTAATTTGTGTTTCTCAAATAACTAATTATGCCAAACATTTCTTGTGTTTTATTGCCATTTGTATATCTTCTTTGATAAACTGCTTATTGAAATCTTTTGCCCATTTTCCCTCTCATTTTTATTGTAAATGCCATGAATTTATTGTAGACGCTGCGTTAGTTGTAAATGTCCCACATTGTGAATTTGTTTGCATCACACCATTTAACGTATCCTTTTGTTCCCTATATTTTCCATAAAGAGAAGTTATCCCAGAAGGTTTGATTAGTTTTAGGCCCAACTTTTTGGTCAAGAACACGTTACTGTTAGTGCTGTGTGCTTCACATAGCATTGCATCAGAAGATTGTCACATTTTAAACAATAATGCCATTGATCAGGGATCCCTCTATTGTAAAATTCCTCATCAATCTTTTAATGAATGATTGCTGCCTGAATCAATTATTTCATTAAATGCTGCAATATTTTTTTTACTTTTTTCTATATTTACTATGAGAAATTTTTCTATAAAGATTTTTTCTCTTTTATCAATTCATAAAAGGAAAGATAGGATAAATGCTTATTTTATTTTAATTTATAATTTTCATACAGAGTTGTTGATGCCTTAGTTATTTCCAATATTCTTAGTTGCTGTCATTGTTGATTATTGGATTTCTCTTATTTAAAAAATTGAGTATCATCAAAAACATAATTTTAAAATATATATGTAGTGGATTTCAGTTAAATGCATTCATTGTTTTCTGTTATTCAAATTGTCTCATCTTTCCCACAGGAGCATCCTTCATGATGATTAGTCTGTTGATAATTTTGTCAAGCAAATGACACCTGTTATCACCTCCAAGGAAGGAGTCCCACTTCAGCTGAAGCAGTAGTGCCAAGTTTTAACCCACTCCATCTTTCAGGGTGGCCAAGAGAGATAGGACTCTATTTAGCCTGGCAAACCCTCTGCAGGAGTCTCCCCAAAAGTACAGTGCCCCAAACCATTCTGAGATGGGGCCAGCTGGGATTCAAAAGAAAGAAGCACCAAATATTAAGTTGATTAGTTTGAAGCATTCATTAGGAGAACCTTACTTACAGAATGCTGCAGCATATCCTCAGGCAGAAAGGGAAAGAAAGGAATGTTTTACCTGAATATGACTTCAGTGACGAGGTCAGGGTAGGAAGCTTATATAAGAGTTTAATGAAGTTGGCTCACGGAGAGGACTAGTTTCTTTTTTCCTTTTTGATTTTTTTAAATCAACTTTTATTTTAAGTTCCAGGGTACATGTGCAGGATGTGCACATTTGTTACATAGGTAAGTGTGTGCCACGGTGTTCTGCTGCACGGAACAACCTATCACCTACGTACTAAGGCCAGCACCCATTAGCTGTTCTCCGTGATGCTCTCCCTCCACACCACCCCTCTGACAGGCCCCAGTATAGGTCGTTCCCCAGCATGTATCCATGTGTTCTCATCATTCAGCACCCACTTATAGGTGAGAACATGCAGTGTTTGGTTTTCTGTGTTAGTTTGCTGAGGATAATGGCTTCCAGCTCCATCCATGTCCCTGCAAAGGACATGATCTCATTCCTTTTTGTGGCTACACAGTATTCCATGGTGTATATGTACCACGTTTTCTTTATTCAGTTTGTCATTGATGGCCATTTGGGCTAAATGCATGTCTTTGCTATTGTGAATAGTACTGCAATGAACATACATGTGCATGTATCTTTATAATAGGAAGATTTATATTCCTTTGGGTATGTACCTATTAATGGGATCGCTCGGTCCAGTGGTATTTCTGCTTCTAGATCTTTGAGAAATCACCACAATGTCTTCCACAATGGTTGAACTAATTTACATTTCCACCAACGGTGTAAAAGTGCTCCTTTTTCTTCACAGCCTTGCCAGCATCTTTTGTTTCTTGACTTTTTATTTTATTTATTTATTTATTTATTTATTTATTTATTTATTTATTTGAGACAGAGTCTCGCTCTGTTGCCCAGGCTGGAGTACAGTGGCACAACTTTGGCTCACTGCAACCCATGCCTCCCAGGTTCAAGCAAACCTCCTGCTTCAGCCCCCCTAGTAGCTGGGATTACAAGCACATGCCAACATGCCTGGCTAATTTTTGTGTTTTTAGTAGAGACAGGGTTTCGCCATGTTGGCCAGGCTGGTCTCAAACTCATGACCTCAAGTGATCCACCGGCCTCAGCCTCCTAAAGTTCTGGGATTACAGCCATTAGCCACTGTGCCAGGCCTCTTGACTTTTTAATAATCACATTATGACTGGCATAAGATGGTATCTCATTGTGGTTTTGATATGCATTTCTCTAATGATCAGTGATGTTGAGCATTTTTTCATATGTTTCTTGGCTGCATGAATGTCTTCTTTGGAGAAATGTCTGTTCATGTCCTTTGCCCACTTTGTAATGGAGTTGTTTGGTTTTTTTCTTCTAAGTTTGTTTAAGTTCCTTGCAAACTTTGAATATTAAACCTTTGTCAGATGGATAGATTTCAAAGATTTTCTCCCATTCTGTAGGTTGTCTGTTCACTCTGACGATAGTTTATTTAGCTGTGCAAAAGCTCTTTAATTAGATCCCATTTGTCAATTTTTGCTTTTGTTGCAATTCCTTTCAGTGTTTTCATTATGAAATCTTTGCCCATGACTATGTCCTGAGTGGTATTGCCTAGATTTTCTTCTAAGGTTTCTAGTTTTCAGTTATACATTTAAGTTTTTAATCCATCTTGAGATAATTTTTTTATAAGGTATAAGTAAGCGGTCCAGTTTCAGTTTTCTGCATATGTCTAGCCAGTTCTCCCAGCACTGTTTATTAAATTGGGAATTTTTTCCCCATTGCTTGTTTTTGTCAGATTTGTCAAAGATCAGATGGTTGTAGGTGTGCAGTCTTGTTCAAAAGTTTTCTATTCTGTTCCATTGGTCTATACATCTTTTTTCTTTTTTTTTTCTTTTCTTTTTCTTTTTCTTTTTTTCTTTTTATTTTTTTACCAGTACCATGCTGTTTCGGTTACTGTAGACTTATAGTATAGCTTGAAGTTGAGTAGTGTGATGCCTCCAGATTTGGTCTTTTTGCTTAAGATTGTCTTGGCTATATGAGCTCTTTTTTGGTTCCATATGAATTAAAAAATTTTTCCTAATTCTGTGAAGAATGTCAATGGTAGTTTAATGGGAATAGCATTAAATCTATAAATTAATTTGGGTAGTATCACCATTTTCACAAAATTGATTTTTCACATCCATGGGCATGAAACGTTTTTCCATTTGTTTGTGTCCTCTCTGAGTTCCTTGAGTAGTGGTTTGTAGTTCTCATTGAAGAGATCCTTCACTTGCCTTGTTAACTGTATTCCTAGATATTTTATTCTCTTTGTAGCAATTATGAATAGGAATTCATTCATGATTTGGTTCTCTGTATGCCTGTTGTTGGTGTATAGGAATGCTAGCAATTTTTGCATGTTGATTTGTATCCTGAAACTTTGCTGAAGTTGCTTATCAGCTTAAAAAGCTTTGGGGCTGAGAAGGTGGGGTTTTCTCGATGTAGGATTATATCATCTGTAAACAAAGATAATGTGACTTCTCCCCTTTCTATCTGAATATCCTTTATTTCTTTCTCTTGCTTGATTGCCCTGGCCAGAACTTCCAATACTATGTTCAATAGGAGTATTGAGAGATGGCATACTTTTCTTGTACCAGTTTTTCAAAGGGAATGCTTCCAGCTTTTGCCCATTCAATATGATATTGGCTGTGGGTTTGTCATAAATAGCTCTTATTATTTTGAGATGATATGTTCCATCAACACCTAGTTTATTGAGAGTTTTTAACATGAAGCAATGTTGAATTTTATCAGAGGCCTATTCTGCATATATATATAACCTCTGTCCTTTATAGATTACCCAGTCTTAGGCAGTTATTATAGCTGTGTGAAAATGGACTAATTCGGATATATATCTATATACAACCTAAAACCCAGAGAGAGACATTGATATGGTTAGGCTTTGTGTCCCCTCCCAAATCTCATATTGAATTGTAATCCCCATAATCTTCATGTGTCAAGGGAGAGACCAGGTTGAGGTAATTGAATCATGGAAGCTGTTTCCCTCCTGCCGTTCTTATGATAGTGAGTGAGTTCTCCTGACATCTGGTGGTTTTATAAGGGACTCTTTCCCCTTCACTCAGCACTTCTTCCCCCTGCCACCTTTGATGAAGGTGCCTTGCTTCCCCTTCACCTTCTGCCATGATTGTAAGTTTCCTGAGGCCTCCCCAGCCATGCTAAACTGTGAGTCAATTAAACCTTTTTCCTTTACCCAGTCTTGGGCCAGTTATTTATACCCAGTCCTTTACCCAGTTATTTATAGCATTGTGAAAATGGACTAATACAGATATAGATATATCTTTCCAGATTCCAGTTACTGTTCCCTCTACCTGCTCTTTCTTTCAGGATAAAGAGCTAAACGTTACACTAATCTTTCTTGCTGAACTCTTACGGTTTCCATGTTCTGTCAAAATTTGCAAATTGTCTCTTTTTAAATGAACCTAAAATTTCTATATTTGCTTGTGCTGTAATTTTCCTACTAGCATCCTGTATAATACAGAAGTAAAAAAGGAAATCATCAGTATAAGCTTTAAGATGAGTATTAAGAAATTTTAGTCAGTATTGGGAGGAGGTAGAGAAGGTAGAATAAGATAGCTGAATAGAACCCTCCAGGGATCAGTGATCATACCCCCTGTGGGAACACCAAATTGTACAACTATGCACAAAAGAAAGCACCTTCATAAAGACCAAAAACCAGGTGAAAAATCACAGTACCTGGTTTTAACATTATATCAAGGAAAGAGACACTGAAGAGAGTAGGAAAGACAGTGTTGTATTGCCTCACTACCCCTCCCTTATTCCTTGACAGCACAGCTTGCCTTGTGGAGAGAGAATCTATATGCTTGTGTGAGGGAGAGTTAAGTGATTGTGGGACTTTTCATTGGAGCTCAGTGCCGCCCTGTCACAGTGGAACACAATGTAGGGCAGAATTCGGCTGGACCCCATGGAGGGAGCATTTAGAGCATCTTTAGCCAGAGGGGAATCCCCTGCCCCAGCAGTAGGAACCTGAGTTCCAGCAAGCCCTGCTGCTAGTGGACTCAAGTGCCCTGCGGTACTGAATAAATTTGAAAGGCAGTCTAGGCCACAAAGACTGCAGTCCTTGGGCAAGTCCTGGTGCTATACTGGGCTCAGAACCTGTGGACTTTGGCTGCATGCAACCCAGTGAGACACCAGCTGGGGCAGCCAACAAAGTACTTGTGCCATCCCTCCCCTAACCCTGGGTAATGCAGCTTAGAGAGAGACTCCTTCCACTTGCAGAAAGGAGAAGGAGTAAAGAGAACTTTGTTTTGAAACTTGAACACTAGCTCAGCCACAGTATAATAAAGCACCAAGCAGAGTCCTGAAGCCCCTGATTCCAGGCCCTAGTTCCTGGCTGACATTTATAGACCCACCCTGGGCCAAAAGGAAACCTGCCTCTCTGAAGGGAAGGACTCAGCCCTGGAGGGCTTCATCACCTGCTGACTAAGGTGCCATTGGTCCTGGAATAAACATCAGCAGTAGCCAGGCAGTAGTTGCCATGAACCTTGGGTAAGACGTAGTACTGTGACCCAGTGCAGTCCTGGCTGTGGTGGCCCGGGGTGTGCTTGCATTGACTCTCCTCCACTTCCAGACAGCCAAGCATGGAAAGACAGACTCTGGTTGCTTGGCAAAAGTAAGGAAATAGAACAAGAGACTCTATCTTATATCCATAGAATTCTCCCAGATCTTACCAAAGCACACCAAGGTGGTACTTTTATGAGTCTGCAAGAGTTGCAGTGTTACTGGGCTTGTGGTGCCCCCTAGCACAGATATGGCTATAGTAACCAGAGACTCCAATCTCAACATTCAATTCCCATTGAATACCTGGAAAGCTTTCTCAAGTAGATGGGTACAAGCAAACCTGGAATGAGAAGATTAAAACAAATACCTAACTCTTCAGTGCCCAGATCTTGATGAACATCCAAAAGCATCAAGAACATCCAAGAAAACATGACCTCATCATCGAATGAAGTAAATGAAACACCAGTGAGCAATCCCAGAGTGAAAAAGATATGTGACCTTTCAGACAGAGAATTAAAAATAACTGTTTTGAGGAAGCTCAACAAAATTCAAGATAACCCATGGCAGAAGTTTACCTATGTAATAAACCTGCATTTGTACCCCTGACCTTAAAATAAAAGTTAAAATAATGAAAAAAAAAACAAGAAAGGAATTCAGAGTCCTATCAGAGAAATTTAACAAAGAGATTAATAAAATAATTTTTAAAATCAAGCAGGAATGGAGCTAAAAAATCATTTGACAAAATGAAAAATACATCGAAGTCTCTCAACAGCAGAACTGATCAAACAATAAAATAATTAGTGATCTTGATGACAAGCTATATAAAAAGTACATAATCAGAGGAGAAAAACATGAGATAAAAAATAATAAAGCACATCTACAAGACTTAGAAAATAGTTTCCAAATGGCAAATCTAAGAGTTATTGGCCCTAATGAGGAGGTAGAGAGAGAGAGAGAGATCAGAGTAGAAAGTTTGTTTAATAAAATAATAACAGAAAATGATCAAAACCTAGAGAAAGATGCCAATAATTAAGTACAAAAAGGTCATAGAACACCAAGCAGATTTCAAACTTTCAAAGTTCTGGAATAAAGAAAATATCCTAAAAGCAGCAAGAGAAAAGAAACAACATATAAAGGAACTCCAATACATCTGGCAGCAGACTTCTCAGTGGAAACCTTACAGGCGAGGAGAGAGTGGCATGACACATATCAAAGTGCTAAAAGAAAAAAATTATCTTAGAATAGTATATCCAGTGAAAGTATCATTCAAACATAAAGGAAAATAAACACTTTCCCAGACAAACAAAAACTGAGAAACTTCGTCAATACCAGACCTGTCCTATAAGAAATGCTAAAGGGAGTTTTTCAATCTGAAAGAAAATGACATTACCAAGCAATAAGAAATCACCTGATGGCACAAGACTCACTAGTAACAGTAAGTACAAAGAGAAATACATAATGCTCTAACACTATGATTGTCATGTGTAAACCACTCATGTTATCTTGAGTAGGAAGATTAAAATACAATCCTATCAACAATAATAACTGTAACAACTTTTTAAGAGATAGTCTAAAAAGGTATACATGGAAACAATAAAAAGTGGTCAGGGATGGAGTTTTAATGTAGAGTTCTTATTAGTATTTTCTTTGCTTGATTGTTGTTGTTTATGAAACCAGAGTTAAGTTGTCATCAGAATATTTGGATAAAAGCAATCCTAAGCAAAACAACAACAAAAACACCCAGAGCTGGAAGCATCACCTTACATAACTTCAAATTATACTACAAGGCTATAGTAACCAAAATATCTTAGTACTGGTATAAAAATAGACTGATAGATCAATAGAACAAAATTGAGAACCCAGAAATAAAGCCACCTGTCTACAACCAACAGATCTACACAGTCAACAAAAATATACACTGGGAAAATGACACCCTATTCAATAAACGGTGCCGGGAAAATTGGAAAGCCATATGCAGAAGAGTGAACTGGACCAATATCTCTCAACACATTCAAAAATTAACTCAAGATAGGTTAAAAACCTAAATGTAAGACCAGAAACCATAAAAATCCTGGAAGAATATTTAGGAAATACACTTCTGGACATTGGCCTAGGCAAAGGATTTACGAGCAAGCTCTCAAAAGCAAATGCAACAAAAACAAAGACAAATGGTACTTAATTAAATTAAAAAGGTCTGCACGCCAAAAAACAAAAAACAAAACAATCAACAGAATAGATAGACAACCTACAGAATAGGAGAAAATATTTATAAACCATTTATCTGACAAAAGGCTAATATCCAGAATTTACAAGGAATGAAAACATTCAACAACAAAAAAGCCAAATAACCTCCTTAAAAAGTGGTCAAAGGACACAAAGATACAGTTTTCAAAAGAAGGTATGCAAGTGCCAAAAAATATGAAAAAATGCTCAATATCACTAATCACCAGAGGAAAGCCAATTAAAATCACAATGAGATACCATTTTACACCAGTCAGAATGGGCATTATTTAAAAGTCTAAACACAGCAGATATTGGTCAGGATGCAGAGAAAATGGAATTATACACTGTTGGTGAGAACGTAAATCAGTACAACCTCTATGGAAAACAGTATGGTGATTTTTCAACAAACTTAAAAATAAATACCAGATAATCCAGCAATCCCACTTCTAGGTGTCTATTAAAAAGAAAATAAATCATTATATCAAAAAGGCACTTATGCTCGTATGTTTACTACAGTACTCTTCACAATAGTGAAGATATAGGATCAACCTAAGTGTCCATCAATGGAGGACTGGATTTAAAAAATGTGATATCAATACACTATGGAATACTACTTAGCCATAAAAATAATGAAATCATGTCTTTTCAACAACTTGGATGGAACTGGAGGCCATTATCCTAAGTAACATAGCTCAGAAACAGAAAGCTAAATACTGCATGCTGTCACCTACATGTGGGGGCCAAAACAAGAGGTACACATTGACATACAGAGTGGAATGATGTACATTGGAGACTACAAAAGGTGGGATAGTGTAGGGGGCGAGGGTTGGAAAAGTACCTACTGGGTGCAATATACACTATTTGGATAATGGGTACACTAGAAGCCCAGACTTCACCACTATGCAATATATGCATATAAGAAATCTACACTTGTATCCCTTAAATATATTTAAATAAACAAATAAGTCAGAAAGTAACAAGTGACAAGAAAAAAAAGATAGGTGTGATAATTATGCAGCAGCCAAATGAAACAGCTGCCAATGTCCAAAGCTTGAACAATTTGAGAAATAAACAATGCTGTATTGGAATATCATACAGAGTATAAAATATATTTATGTTTTGTTGGAGTAGGAGAACAAATATACAAACTATTTTATTCTGCCCCTGGCCCTCACCAAATGTCAAATTCTTCTCACAATGCAAAATACATTCATGCTGTTGCAGGACTTTTCCTTAGTTCAGCTAAAGACAGGGTCCTTGTCAGTCCTGTGACCATGAAAATTTAGGCTCACATGGTTTGAATGGTGAGTAAGACACAGTTTATTGGATAGAAAGGAAGAAAAGGGTGAAACAGGGACTCTTACAAGGCCACAGTCCCTGCTACAGCACTTCCCGTCCTGCCATTTGAATCCCAGGTTCCACGCAGGAAGCGGAGGGGCCAGATTCCTCCCTGCTGAAAACTGTGCAAACTTCCCGAGGCTCTACCCCAGTGGGCAGGCTGGTTGAAATTTCTCCAGGAACCCCCTCCCATGTGGCTGTCTCAGTGCTTTCCCAATAGTCTCCCAAAGTCTTAACTCATTCCAGCATTAACTGAAAAGTCCCAAGTCCCAAGCCCAAAGTCTCATCTGGAGATGAATTCCTTCCACCTATGAGCCTGTGAAATCAAAATAAGTTATTTACTTCCAAGATACAACGTGGGTACAGATATTGGGTGAACATTCCCATTCCAAAAGGGAGAAATCAGCCAAAAGAAGGGCTACAGGCTCCACACAAGTTTGAAATTCTGCGGGGCAGTAATTAAGTCTTGAAGTTCCAAAATAATCTCCTTTAACCTACAGGACACACTCGTGCAAAGGTGGGCTTCCAAGGCTTTGGGGAACTCCATCCCTGTGGCTTTGCAGGGTTCAGCCCCTGTGTCTTCTCGCATGGTTTGGAGTTGAATGCCTGCAGCTTTTCCAGGTGCGGTATGAAAGATTCCAGTTGAATCTACGATTCTGGGGTCTGGAGGATGTTGGCCCTCCTCCTACAGTTCCACTAGGTAGTGCCCTAGTGGGGATTCTTTGTAGGGCCTCCAACCCTACACTTCTTCTTTATACTGCCCTAATAGAGGTTGTCTGTATGGGTCCCATCCCTGCAGCAGTCTTCTGCCTTGGCACCCAGGATTTCTCATACATCCTCTGAAATCTAGGCAAAGGGTGCTGAGCCTTCTTCACTTTTACACTCTATGTGCCTACAGGCTTTACACTCCATAAAAGCTTCCAAGATTTATGGCTTGCATCCTCCAGAATGGTGGCCCAAGCTGTTCCTTGGGCCCTTTGAGCTGAGGCTGGAGCCCACGTGGACACAATTTGAGAGGCAGCCTCCTGGAATGGTACAGGGCAGTGTTTCCCTGGGCCTGGGCCAGGAAACCATTCAGTCCTTCTAAAAGGCCTCAGGGCCTGTGATGCAAGAAGCTGGCTCAGAGACCTCTGAAATGCTTTCAAGCCCTTTTTCCTATTTTCTTTGCACTTGGTTCTTTTTTAATTATGCAAATCTCACTAGCAAGTGGTTTCTCCACAGCCTGCTTGAATCCTTCTCCAGAAAATGGGATTTTCTTTCCTACCACATAGCCAGGCTACAAATTTTTCAAACTTTTACCCTCTGCTTTTCTCTTTAAATATAACTTCCAAATTTAAGTAATTTCTTTGTCCCCACATCTGAGTGTAAGTTGTTAGAAGCAGCCAGGCCATGTCGTGAATGCTTTGGTGCTTAGAAATTTCTTCCACCAGATAACCTACACAAGTTCAAATTTCCAGATTCCTAAGGCATAAACATATCATACCCAAGTTCTTTGCTAAGGCATAAGAAGAGTGACCTTTGCTCCAGTCTCAAATAAGTTCTACATTTCTAACTGAGGCCTCATCAGCCTGAACTTCACTATTCATCTTGATAGACAAGCATCTGATCACAACCATTTAATCAGTCTATAAGAAACTCCACACTTTGCCTCATCTTCATGTTTCCTTCTGAGCCCCCTAAATTCTTCCAACCTTTGACCATTACCCAGTTACGAAGCTGCTTCCACTTTTTCAGATATATTTATAACAACACTCTACTCTTTGTACCAATTTTCTGTGTTAGGTTGTTATTATACTGCTATAAATAAATACCTGAGGCTGAGTAAATTTATAAGAAAAAGGAATATAATTGGTTCTGCAGCCTGTATGGGAAGCATGGCACTGGCATCTGCTTGGCTTCTGGAGAGGCCCCAGGAAGATTTTACTAATGGTGGAAGGTGAAACAGGAGCAGACACATCATATAGTTAAAGCAGGAACAAGAGAGATGGGAGAGGGCTTTTTGAACAACCAGATCTTCTGAGAACTCACTATTATGGCAACAACACCAAGCCATGCAGAATCTGTCCCCATGAGCCAAACAACTCCTATAAGGCCACACCTCCAACATTGGTGATTACATTTCAACATGAGATTTGGCTGGGGACAACTATCCAAACTACATTAATTATCCTGATACAAAAACCTGACAAAGGCACAACAAAAAAGAGAAAACTATAGGTAAATATCTCTGATGAATGTTGATGCAAAAATCTTCAACAAAATACAAATACACTGAATTCAACAACACATTAAAAAGATCATTCATCACGAACAAGCAGGATTTATCTTATGCATGCAAGGATGGTTTGACATATGCAAATAAATCATGTGATACATTATATCAATAGAATGAATGACAATACCATATAATCATTACAATTGATGCTGAAAAGCATTCAATAACATGCATCATCTTCTTGTGAGTAAAAAAGATCATACCAACCACAGTTGGTATCATACTGAATGGGGAAAAAGTAAAAGTCTTTCCTCTGAGATTTGGGATAAGACAGAATGCCCACTTTCACCACTGTCATTCAACATAGCACTGGAAGACATAGCTAGAGCAATTAAACAAAGAAAGAAATAAACAGCATTCAAATTGAAACAGAGGAAGTGAAATTATCCTCGTGTGTAGACATTATGATCTTATATTTAGAAAAATCTAAAGACTACACCAAAAATCTATTAGAACTGATAAATTCAGTAAAGTTGTAGGATACAAAATCAACACACAAAAATCAGTATCATTTCTATATGGCAATAGCAAACAATCTGAAAAATAAATCAAGAAAGTAATCCCATTTATGAATGAATAGCTACAAATAAAACAAAATAAATGCCTAGGAATAAAGTTAAAAATAAGTGAATGATCTCTTCAATGAAAACTATAAAACAATGTTGCAAAAAATTGAAGAGGACACCAAAAAAATGGAAAAAATATTTTATGTTTATGAATTAGAAGAATCAGTATTGTTAAAATGTCCATACTATCCAACACGATCTACAGATTCAATGCAGTTTCTATCAAAATACTGATATCATACTTCACGGAAATAGAATAAAACATTTTTAAATATGTATGGGAACACAAAAGACCCAGTATAGCCAAAGTCATCCTGAGGAAAAAGAACAAAACTAGAAAACTCACATTTCCTGATTTCAAATTACACAACAGTGTTATAGTAACCTACAGATTGCTAACGGCAAAGAAAACACAACAAAACAACAACAACAAAAGAAAAACAGTCACATGGACCAATAGGTAAGAACAGAGAACCCAAAAATAAATCCATAAATATACCATGAATTCATTTTTGACAATGGTGTCAAGAACATGCATTTGGAAAGGACAGTTTATTTAATACCTGATACTGAGAAAACTGGATATTTATATGGGAAGAATGAAACTATGTCTCTATCTCTTGCTATATTCAAAATTCAAATCACAATGGATTAAAGACTTAAATCTAAGACCTAAAACTATGAAACTACTAAAAGAAAACATTGAGGAAACTAGCCAGGACATTGGTCTGGGCAAATATTGCTTGAGTAATATCTCAAAACCACAGGCAACCAAAGCAAAAATGAACAAATGGGAGTTTGTCACATTGTGTTATAAAGCTTCTGCACAGCAACAGAAGCAATCAAAAGAGTGAAGAGGCAATCTACAGAATGAGAGGAAATATTTGCAAATTAACCATCTGATAAGGATTAATAACTAGAATATATAAGAAGCTCAAACAAATCAATTTAAAAAATCTAATAATTCAATTAAAAAATGGGCAAAAGATCTGAATAGACATTTCTCAAGACACACAAATGGCAAACAGGTGTGTGAAAACTAGGCACCATTATTTATCAGAGAAATGCAAATCAAAACTACAAGGAGAGATCATCTCACCCCAGTTAAAATGGCCTTTGACCAAAAGACAAATAACAAAAAATGCTGATGAGGAGGTGGAGAAAAAGGAACCCTGATATACTGTTGTTAGTGGGAATGTAAATTAGTACAACCACTGTGGAGAACTACCATATGATCCAGCAATCCCACTGCTAGGTATAAATTTAAAAGAAAGGAAATCAGTATATTGAAGAAATATCTGCACCCCCATGTTTATTGCAGAACTATTCACAGTAGCCAAGATTTGAAATCAACCTAAGTGTTTCTCAACAGATGAATGAATAAAGATATGGCACATATACAGAGTGAAATAGTATTCAGCTTTAAGAAAGCATGAAATCCTGTCATTTGCAACAACGTGGATGGAACTGGAGGACATTATATTAAGTGAAATAAGCCAGGAACAGAAAGACGAATTTCACAGGTTCTCACTTATAGATGCGAACTAACAATGAAAACAATTGAACTCATGAATAGCTAGAGTAGAATGATTGTTAACAGAGGCCAGCAAGGAAGGGTAGCAGGGAAGAGGAGAAAATATGGAGACAGTTAATGAGTGCAAAAACATTCTTAGATAGCATAAGATCTACTATTTGATAGCAGAACAGAACGAGGTGACTACAGTCAAAATTTTTTTTTGTATATGTTAAAATAACGAAGAGTGGAACTGAAATGTTCCTAACACAAAGAAATGACAAATGATGGTTAAACACTTGATAATGATAAATGATACCTCAATTACCCTGATGTGGTTATCGCATATTTTATGACTATATCAAAACATCACATGCATCCCAGAATATATATACCTACTATGTACTCATAAAATTAAAAATTAAAAAAATTAGAATATCCATCAAAGTATTAGGCAATATAACACTTTTGCCTCCAAAAATATTAATTTATTGATATTTGGTAATTTGCCTTATACCTCTTTTATAATATATTATTATTATGGTATAGATACTGTACTGCTCAATAAATATGAATAAATTTAAAACCCCCGTTTAACCCAAAGAAACAACTTTTAAAAACAGCACTCTTTAATACTTAGGAATACATTAGGCACCTGAAAAATTATGCCTGTACAAAGTGTGTGTTACTATGAATCCGGTCAAAGAGCAAGAAATACAGCTTAATGGATATAGCAGTGATTTCAGTGTCAGCCATTACTAGTGATATTTCCTATATATCATTGACTTTAAAGCAATTACAGAATTAAAATCTTCTGCAAAAACAAAAGTGCTTCTCCAAAAGGGTAACATTGCCTATTTGTCTATTTGACTATTTCTTTCCTTCTCTCCTTCCTTCCTTCCTTCCTTCCTTCCTTCCTTCCTTCCTTCCTTCCTTCTCTCTCTCTCTCTCTGTTTCTTTCTTTCTTTTGACAGGGTCTCTCACACTGTCACTCAGGCTTCAGTGCAGTGGTACCATCATAGCTCACTGCAAAGTCTAACTACTGGGCTCATGCAACCCTCCCACTTCAGCCTCCTAATAGCTAGAACTACAGGTGCACTCCACTGTGCCCAGCTAATTTTTTTATTTTTATTTTTGTAGAGACACTGTGTCACTTTGTTGGCCAGGCTCATCTCTATCTCTTGACTTCAAGTGATCCTCCTGCCTTGGCCTCTCAAAGTGCTAGGATTACAGGTGTGAGCCACCCTGCCCAGCCTACATTGCCTATTTTCTACCAGCTAGATCAATCTGATACTCTGGTCCACAGACATAATATAAATACAAATATCTATGTCTATTTGTAGCGAACTTTCTGAATTCTAGAAATTTCCTCTTCCTTACTTTCATAAAAAAAAATGTGGTCTTTTCTCTTTAGGATTCTATAATAGCAATTTCAAACATTTACCAAAAGCTTATTTTACTCAGGTCATCTTTTGACCTCACTCCAGAAAAGATAACCAGTCCAGTTACTCTTATGAATCTATCATTACTATTATAATACTTTTAACTTGTACAGTGCTTTGACGTTTTCAAAATGCTTTCATATATTTCAGTTTATTTATTCCATAATGGTTTATAGAGAGTTTAAAATGATTATTTTTTTCAGAATTACAGATGAGGAAATAAAAACTTAGCTAAATTAAATTAATTTTCCAAGAACAAACAGTTCAGGGAGATATTACATTTGGATAAAATCTGAGTCTTCTAATTCCAATTCTAGTGCTCTTTTCAGTAGATCCTGTTTATAAAACATAGCATTAAGCATATCAAGTCAAAATAAAATACTTTATAAAATCTAAATTTGCCTAATTAGAACTAAACAAATATACAAAAAAACAACTTCTATTTTAAAAGTCTAGGTTTATAGTATATGTATTTGCTACATATCCTGATAAATGGAGAATAAGCTATGTTTCTAATCTGCACTATTATTATCTCAGAGGTACTAGCCTTATGACCTTAGGTGGGTTAGACATTCCTTTTATCACAGATGCTTCTTCTAGTTCTATTACTGAGGATAATAATTTCTTAGAGTAGAGTTTGCCAAATAGTAGACACTCCATAATTGAGGGTGATGGCAGTTGTTACAACTATAATTCCCACTACTCTTATTCCATCTAAATCTGGGTGGTCTTTTAATGCAGGGAGCCAGCATTGTGCCATTTATTTCTTTGCCCTGGAATGTCAATAGGGCAGGGTGAAGGGTTAGTTGGAAGATGGCCCATTTACCAGGTTTCATTGACTCTCTTATCCAGGATACTTTTGTTGGCTTAGCTTATTTACTTAAATATTTAAATATTTTCTTTACTTTGCTATAAAATTAGAGTGATGTTAATATACAATGATGATAATTTAATAATTTGTAAATAATCTGTAGACTGCAAAGTGTCAAACATATTACAGTAACCCCTGCCTTCATCCATGGTGGATGTGTTCCAAGGCCTCCAGCAGATGCCTATAAGTGTGGATAGTACTGAACCCAATATATACTGTTTTTTTTCTTTTACATACACATCTATGATACAGTTTATACATTAGGCACAGTAAGAGATTAACAACAAGAACTAATAATAACATAGAATAATTATAACACTATACCATAATAAAAGTTATATGCATGTGGTCTCTCTCAAAATATCTTACTGTACTGTAACTAAAACTGCTAAAAGAAAAACTCTGGAAAAAGGGGGCCTATTATCTTGTTCCATATAGTAGGTTTAATTAATCATAATATGAGCTAAATAGTCACTATTCCTTTAAGGGTTCACGTCATTACTTTAATTCATAATCAATATATGTGTTAGACAAATACATTGGGAATCAAATGGAAAACAAATATAGGACAAATATTTACGATTGACAAACACTTTATATCGATATGGGAAGCAAATGTTAAAAGTAATCTGTTTCTATAATACACACAGGATACGTTTCTGCTAACCAGCCTCAGAATCTATAATTGTTTAACCTCCCACAAGGGTAAACTGATAACATTTCCTTTTATTCTGCACTGTATTTGGCTTTCAAATTAATAGTCACATTCTGTCTAGAATGTTACTGGCAGATAAACAGATGTCTGAAAGTGGCTGAGGACATTTCAGTTCCTATAAAATCCTCTTGATTTTCTGTGTCGATAGAATTCGACTTTACTTGCAGTTGCAGTTGAATTTTGACACAAAGGTACCCATGGTATTAATACCTTATAACCACTAGATGTCACTATTCTCAAAGCAATAAATTAGAATTGTGCTATGATGTAATCTAAAGAATACAACATTTGCAGTTTGCATGTCTCTCTCTCTCTCTCTCTGTCTCTCTCATTCTTTTCTCCTTTAAATTTGTGAATTTGGTTTAAAGATAAAATTAGATTCCTAAAAACCGTTCTGAAAGTAAAGCAGGTTGATATGCCCAAATATACACTTTATTCGTTGATACTGATTACTATCAAACTGAAATTTTCTGTATTGTAAGAAAAAATGATAAGAAAATACAGAATTAGGGCAAAAGAAATGGGGTTTTCCCAGGGGTTTTTAGCCTCTCCTAAATACCCATAATCCATTTGCAAAGAGAAGGACTGAGAGACAAAGGAAGTTGTGTTAGCATGAAAGAAAAACGTCATGTCACTTTTCTTTGTTTAGTAATTTAGAGAAAATGCATCCCCTGTATTTGTATAAATAACACAATTCACAGATATGATTCTACTCTGTGAGAGACCCAATTAATAGAACCAGTCAACATTACATGAGAACTCATAAAATGCTACCCTGAAGAAGTGGCAAAGAACTGTCTGTAGCAATTCCTTGGCTAGAAAAAATAACATTTTTCAATTACAATTTTCAAGGAAAAAAAGCTTGGAAAAGCATTATATATTTAAAATGGTTAATATATAATGAAAGGTATACTTTGTGTAATATTTATAATCCTATTTCTAATTTCTAATTCTCTATATTTTTCGAAGAACAAGTATACTTTCTTGTTTAAAAATAGATAAAATGCACAATATGCCATTAATACCACACACATCCTCCGTCCTTTCTCTGAATATCGATAGCTGATAACTCCAAATGCTGCATAATGGGGCTCTGGATCTGAGGAACTTACCATCCATTAACCTGTTAAGAAAATGAACGACCTATAATATCAGAAAAAAACATGAAACATGTTTTACTCACCTCACTTTTCTCTAGACTGTGCCTGTTTCTACTTTTACACCTAGGAGATATCTGGCAAACTGTATTCTATTAACCTGAAAGAGAAGCCCCTGGCAACAAACTTAGATGATTTATCAAAGACCCTACTTTTCAGTAAGAAAGAGAAACAGACATGAAGTAATATTAACAAAAAGCAATAAAGGATTCAGAGACATCATCTAGGTAATTAATAGAGCCACTGAATGGAGCTTACCAAGTATGGCAATGGCTGTAGCTTATTGAATAATTGAAGGTAGTAATTTTCTTCGAGTATATTAACAAAACAAATGTCTTTGAATAGCTATTCATTCATTCGTTGACTCATTTTTTCATTCAACAAATATTTACTGAGTGACTTACTAGTCCAGGTACTATTCTATCTACCTGATCAACAGCAGTTAATGAAAGAAAACAAAAATCTGTGCCCTCCGGGCATGTATGTTGCAGTAGAGAAAATGACAGGAAATAGTATAATTGTCTTGTTGTTCATTTTTTAATGAAATCTAAATTGTTATGATACTTTTAAGAAATGCACCTGATAATACCCAAATATTTATTCTTTAACCATCTTCAAATTCTGTAACTAGCATTTCTGTAAAACTTGCAACATACTAATATGAAATTATAACATATTTAATAGGTTTTTGTACTAAATAGCATTTTCCTATCCAACAGCAGTTATTTTCCATTTTGCTCAAGAGCTATACTATCACCAAAAAAGAGTATGTATATATTCAAAGGAGGATATATACATATCACACACATGATAGAAAAGCAAAACTATTTTATCTCTTCATGATTTTGTCATTGGTAAATTATCTAGAAACCTTTCTCTGTATCAATATATTTTGATATATACAGGGATGATTTCATATTGTTAGTGTGTTTTCAAAGTAGGCATATCATTTTTTCTCTTCTAAAGGATGTTATTAATATGCTAACATCAAAAGGATGTATGTTTTGTCCACTGAAATTGAGGGTTTGCTCTAATTAACAAATTTAGTGGCCTTTTCTCAGTTTTCTCCCCCTTGACATTTTATTATGGTGTTAGTGATGAATGCATTGTATCTTTATTAGTAACATATATCTTTAAATGTACTTACAAAATCAAGGCATAGATATAAAAATTGAAGAAGAGTATTTCTTAGAGGAAAGCAAGTATCCATGTCAAAGGAAATTTTCGAATACATATAGTCTACATGGATTTAATCACCATTTCTTACATAGAGATTAATGCAAAACTCAGTAAAAAGGATGATAATTCTGAGTCAATTTATAATTTTTCATTTATTAGTTTTTTTCTTTGTTGTTGTTGTTGTTGGTTTTTTTTTTTAGATGGAGTCTCTCTCTGTTGCCCAGGCTGGAGCACAGTCATGCGATCTCAGCTCACTACAATCTCTGCCTCCCAGGTTCAAGCAATTATTCTGCCTCAGCCTCCTCTAAGTAGCTGAGAATACAGGCTTGCGCCACCATGCCTGGCTAATTTTTGTATTTTTAGTAGAGACGGGGTTTGACTGTATTGGCCAGGCTGGTCGCGAACTCCTGACCTCGTGATCCACTCACCTCGGCCTCTCAAAGTGCTGGGATTACAAGCGTGAGCCACCGTGCCTGGCCCGTTTATTAGTTTTTAATCTTATATATTTGCTGCTGCCTTATTTGGTAAATAATATTTAACATTTTAGTTTCGAAATCCTTAGAAATAGCTAGGTTAATTTCTTTTGCTTTTCCTTTTTTCGTCATCTTTTTCTCCTCATATTCCAATAAACAATCACTTTTTCCAGAAGGCAGGTGAAGTTTATAGTCACTTCTCTGCTGCTGCTGAGATGGTGCCCATCCTTCTGATTTTTTGCCATTGGGATCTACATCCATAGCCACTTTCTTCTTTCCTTTTATTGCCTCTTCATTTCTTTTATTTGATAAACACTGGATTTCCTGGATTGAGCTTCTGTGTCTCTGTGTCTTAAACCCCGTCTTTCTTTTTTTTTTTTTGTCTATATTTTGGAATAGTTTCTCAACTTGAACTTATAAATTCCTAATGCTGTATTCCACTATAGCCATTTAATATTAAAATCAGTACTTTATCTTTTATAAATTAAAATTTTGATTTCTATATACTTTTTCCTGTTTTATGACTATTTCACATCATCTCTTCGATTTATGGGTGGACTCTTCTTTAATATATCTAGGAGAATATTAACTAGAGCTTCTTTTTACATGTTCTTCTACTGCCCACATTACCAAGTCCAGTAATTGTTTTCTTTCTTATTATGGCCTATTTTGCCTTTCCTCAAATGTTGGCAATTTTTTGTTTGGTTATTTGCGTTTATCGAGGAATGGCTGGCTGACTAGGTAGCTGGTGAGGGTTTTCTTTGCATTGGATAGGTTTCTTGACTATAGCTCCTCACCTATGAATATGAGGGCTAAGTGAGGTTTCTGGTAAATTCATATTTTTGTCATCAAGCAGGCTTTCCTCTAAGGTGAGGGGAAGGGATCTCTACATATGTTGTGTTTTTGGGTTTAGCAAATAAAAATGCAAGATGCCTAGTTAAGTGTGAATTTCAGATAAATAATAAATAATATTTTAGAATGAGTGTGTCCCATGTAATATTTTGGGAATATTTTAATTATTTTTGTATATCTGAAGTTCATACATCCTGGTTTTTTTGTTTTTGTATTTTATCTAGTAAACCTGTTATCAGGTCAATGTTTATGGAAGCTCAGCTATATCTTAGATTCTGCCTTTTGTCTTTCTACATTCCAGTTATCCATTTCATTTTACAGAGCTTCTTAGATAAATTGACCACAGTGATTAGTGAATGGGGTTGGGGACACCAGCCATATATGTATGCAATCTTATTCACCTAATTTACAACCCCTGAATGCTCTTCTGCTTTGAGCCACTCATGGGCACTTTTGCTCATAGTTACACTGTGAAGAACGGCACTCCCGTGATGCAGTTGTAATCTGTGCTTTGCTTAAGTTATCAATGAATCTGCATTCTATCTCCAGAAATTTTTCAAAACATCCGAACTGAAAATGGCATAGTTTTATATTTTTAGCACTGTTGTGCATCTATTTGTTTTGTTTTATAGTCTTTACCATGGGATCTTGGAGGGGAAGAAAGACTACATGGATGACAGGAGCCGTTGTCTTCCAATGTGTATCCACACCTCTCATTCGGAATTAATCATTCATCCTATGCTCAGAAAAATAGAGACTATTTGATAAATTATGTTAAAGATTTCATAAATTCTGAACTGCATTTCTTCCAGCTGCTACTATATTTCTTTGCTGCAGTTTACACTAAAACTCTTCACAATAATTTACATTTTTTTTTGTCTCCAAACCTCTCTATTCTATTGAAAACTCACTTGAGTCAGGCTTTCATCACAACCATTCTATCTTAAAACTGAAGAATAAGAGAACCATTTTCACAGTTTGTAGACTATCTCACTTCTCAGTGATAATGTTAGGCATTATTCAAACCTGTTTTGGCTTCAAATATAGTGTTAATTCAATAGCTAGGTGTATGACAAAAATAGTGAATATGGATCCCTGCTTCACAATTTTTCTCAAATACATTCAAGATGGATTAACTACATTAAAAAGTTTCACCTAAAAAACTACTAGAAGAAAACATTGCTAAATATTTAAAAAGTTTCGGGGCAAAGAAAATTAAACATAATACGAAAGACATCATTCATTGAGGAAAATAGTGATAGATTTAACAAAAATAATTTAACAAATTATTTAACAAAAATAATACTTTTGTGAATTGAGAGAGTGTAAAAGTAAACAAATAAAAATGTTAGATAAATATTTGCAAGAATTATTGATAAAAAATATGACACTCAATATGTAAGTAATCTCTTAAGAATCAATGGAAAAAAGACCCAATACCAAAATGGGCACAGGACGTAATCAGACATGCTAGAAAGGATGATGTGCTAAAGGCTGGTGAAAAGATCATTCTAAAATGCTCAGTCTAATTATAATTGGAGAAATGTAAATTAAACAGCAACTTGCTGCATTTTGTTGCCTATTAGGAGTACAATCTTTGAAGAATATCAGTTCTCTGGGAGAGAAGAAAGTAACAGCCTCTCTTATGCATGGCTGGCAGATATTTAAATTGACAAAAAAAAAAAAACCCACAAAACTTTCTAGGGAACAAAATGACAATATTCAAAAATAAAAAAAAAGGCTTACAATCTACATATACTTTTACTCAGCTTGGGAGTTTATTCTGAGGAAATAAAGAAATAGAGAATGTACAAACATGGTATACATATGTGTGTGTGTGTGTATATATATACATATATATGTATGTATTCCAGAGCATTGACTACAATAATATTTATAAGAAATAAATATTTTAAAACCGACAAAAACAGGATTGGTTATACAAATCATGGCTAATTTCTGTGATGGTATATTATTCAGTTATTAAATGATTTTGTGCAAGTGTTTTAAGTCTTTTATTTATGCTCACAATTATATTGCTAGGTGAGCATATTGGCTTAAAAATAATACATATAACAGTTATAAAATAGTACACATAATACGAATGTAAGTTTTTCCTGCCTTCTTTGATTTCATATACAATCAAGCCCAAGGTCTGTCTATTTATTTATTTATTTATTTATTTATTTATTTATTTATTTATTTCTCATATCCTTTCCCTGTTTTCTGTCCCTGCAACCACTGAACTTGTTTAGATGTTTCCCAGTGGAACTATTAAGATAGCTTCTTTATCAGTCCTTCTATCTTTTATATCTATCCTACCAAAGAACAGTTTTTCTATATTAGTGTGTTCTCATGCTGCTAATAAAGACATACCCAAGACTGGGTAATTTATGAAGGAAAGAGGTTTAATTGACTCACAGTGCAGCATGGCTGGGGAGGCCTCAGGAATTTACAATCATGGCAGAAGGGGGAGCAAACATGTCCTTCTTTATAAGGCAGCAGGAAGGAGAAGTGCTGAGCAAAGGGGGAAAAACCCCTGTAAAACCATCGGATCTCGTGAGAACTCACTCACTATCACAAGAATAGCACGGGGCTAACCACCCCCATAATTCAGTTACCTCCCACTGGGTCCCTCCCAAGACATGTGGTGATTATGGGAACTACAATTCAAGATTTCGATGGGGACACAGCCAAACCATATCACTTTCTAATACTCAGATTTAGTCTCCTTCTTAAAATTCTTCAGTGGTTTCTATAGCATGCCAGAAAATGTCCAATCTGCTGAGCACATATCATCCCAAAATATTTTTGATCTGAAGACTAGCTACCTGTCCCTAGGTGTCTGTCCCATCACTGTGCTTCTTAATTTCCTTCTGTATCGGTTTCCTAGGGCTGCCATAACAAATTACTACAAATGTGGTGGCATCAAACAACAGAAATTTATTCTCTCACTGTTCTGGAGGCCAGAAGTTCAAAATTAAGGTGATTTACTCGGGAGACTCTGAAGAAGAGTTCAGTCCATGCTTCTCTCCTGGCTTCTGATGACTGCCAGCAACTTTGGCTTTCCTCTGCTTGAGGCTGCGTAACTCCAGTCTCTGAATCCGACGTCACTTGGCTTTCCTTTTTCTTCTTCTGTTTGTCAAATCTCCCCTAACTTTCTCTTATAAGGACACCAGTCATTGGATTTAGGGCCCACCCTAAATCTAGAATGATCTTATCTTGAGAACCTTAATTATATGTGCAAAGGCCATATTTCTAAATCAGGTCACACTCAAAGTACTAGTGGTTGGACTTGGGTATATCTTTTTGAGAATGCTATTCAACCCATTGTACCTTCACTTCTTATTCTTTAGTAGTACTGGAATCCGTATGATCCCCAAAACCATCCTCCTTCTTTACACATATTGCAGATGAGATACTTCCTGCCTGGAATGTTATTTTTCATGTGTATCAACAAAGTTTTTCCTATTTTTCTAGTTGTGTCTCAAGGTCTAGTTTGTACAAGACTTTTCTAGCTGTTACATAAGACCTAGCTTCTCTCATACCTCTAAATGACCAATGGCCAGTACATCAGTGTACCACTGCACTGGGAAGTTTTCTTCCATGATTCTCTATACTGAACTGTGACTCCTTATACACAGAAATAATGCATTTTCATCTTGGCACTCCTAGGATTCCTTAGGTCAATACATTTCTTCACAAATGCTTTATCAGACACTGCATTGTAGGATACTGAAATGTACGTAAACAGATATTCTTGAGCATAAATGTCTCCGCATGACATGGTACTGGAGACTGAAGGAGCTGCCAGGGAAATAAATAGAATACATAGCTCTTGACCTCAAGTATTTTGTTATAGAGTGAAAACAAACTTTAAAAGATTAAATATATATTTGGGACATGCATTTAATTAAATTACAAAGGAAAGGAAACACACCCTAATTTCTATCTGTGTTAAGGAGAGTATATAATCACTGCAATGGCACAGATGCAGGCTTCACAAGAAAATGCAAATTAAAGGGGACCTTACAGAAAGAGTGGGGTTTGGAGGGCACGCAAGATGTCCTTTAAATACATAATCAGATGATGAGGAGGAAATAGTTTATGCAAGTCATTGAATCTTCAGTTAGCTCAGTTCACTTGAGAGCTCCATCCGTGAAGGCCATGTATTTAGAAAGAGCAATGTCATATACTACAGAGAAATAGAGTTTGGAGCCTGACAGACCTGGCTTTGAATTGCCCTGTGCTATTTCCTAGCTATGTGACCTCAGGTAAATTATGTAACACTCTGAATCAGCATTCTAATTCATAAATTGTTGAGAAGAAATCTTACCTTCCTTTATAGTCATGTGAATTCAAACGACAATACATATGTATAGGTTCTATTTTATAGGTATTAGTCAATGAAGGTGAAATTCCTTTGGAGTTGTATTTTTATTTTATTATTCTTAATTTGTTTCCCTTTTATTTTTCCAGTAGACTGATACTAAGGTCAATTCAAGATAGTGACAATATGTCTTTCTGATTTAGATAAAGAGCACACTTAAAGCTGTTGTTGATTCAGCTGAAAAGGACATTGAATCTAGAAACCCCATACTTAATTCATGGCTTATGCTTGGGAAGGTCATGATAACCAGGCTTTACCACCAATTATGCAATAAAGAGAGCATCAGCCATCCACCTCCTCAGCAGCAATTAATAAAGAAGGAGGATATGGTGTTTGCCCAGGGATTAGAGCTTCTCTGTGGGAAGGTGCTAAATTTGTAATGAATTGGTATCTAACTGAAATTAGGAGCCAGCTGTAGGTTTACTGACTTTTTTCATTCTAAATTTAGAGAAAGCTGGGTAGTCATAGAAGTGAAAAGTTTTCAAATTGTGAGATTTCTCTAGCAGAGCCACTGTTGTTTCTTGCTGTGCTGACATGGCAATGATTCGCAAACTTGAACCTGCATCAGAATCTCCTGGAGGATTTATTAAGCCTAGATTGCTGTGCACTCACCTCCAGAATATCTGCTTTAGGAGGTCTGGCATGGAGTGTGATCACTTGCATTTCTGTAAGCTCACTGGTGATACTCATGCTGCTGGATCAAGAATTACACTTGAGAACTACAGTTTTAGAGAAACAACACAATCTCACAAAAGGGCTTTGTGTTTAACAATAATATTTAAATGTTTAGCATGTAAATGTGAGTGGGGCTTAATGGCTGCATACACAAAATAATTAAATAATCCTTGTATTGCAACTGGAATTCCCCATCAATCCTTCACTTATGTTGAATTTGGGGAGCTTTCTCATCAGTGGAGGAGAAAACAGATATGTTTTCTGTCATAATGTTTCAACCACTTCTCACTGCAAACAATTGAATATTTATCACCTGTGATTCACATAGCATGGGATGTGAGAGAAGGAGAATGTCAGCAGCAGCTGCTGTAAGTTTTGCATCAATTTGTGATAATGGCACTTAACACGGGAAGCCATCAACTGCTTTAAAATTAGGGCAGCTACAACTCTGGCATCAAATGAATGTTTGTCACTAAAGCAGTCCCAGACTCACAAACACAGCTGATTCGGAGAACACTGACTGATACATTGATATTTTAATCCATGGGTTAGACCAGATGGTTCTGATACTTTACAGCCAGGATATCCTAATACCATTAGCTTCAAGTCAGTGTTTGAATAGATCGCCTATAGTTTTTTTTTTTTCCATACAAAGTGCTTTATTAAGTAAGATTCTTTGTTCTTGAATATCCTGAATGAAAAGTAGAAATCTAGGTGACACACTGCAATAAATTGCCTCTTATTATTGAAATACAGTTGGTAAGAATCATAAATACAAATTTGGGTGACACAGAACCAGATCTGCCATGAGGAAAATATTGTCTCTACTTAAATGTAAATGAACACATCCATTCTCAAAAATGTTTATTCTAAATAAGAATGCATTGATTAAAAAAAAGAAACAATATGGACTTTTGCTTCTAAGTTGAAGGAGATACGTTTGCTTCTACTTCTTCTACTAGGTACAACTAAAAACCCTGCACATTACATAAAAATGTTGAGCAAGTGACATCTGTTTCCTACCACAAGAAGCAGTAGACTCACAATGTCAATTCAGGAATTGGAACAGTTTGCAGGTATTGGAGTCTTCAACTGCTCTGAACCGAATGGTTTTGTTCTCCCCAAATTCATATGTTGAAGCCCTAATCCCAAAGGTAATGGTATTTGGAAGTGGGGCCTTTACCTATGAGGGTGGGGCCTCCAAGATGAGACTAGTACTCCTGTAAGTAGATGAAGGGACCAAAGCTTCCTCTTCTCCAATACACTCCTCACCCCAGCATATGAAGATACAGTGAGAAGGCAACCTTCTGTGAACCAAGAACCTGACCATGCTGGCACCCTGATCTTGGACTTCGAGCTTCCAGAACGATGAGAAATAAATATCCGTTTTTAAGCCATACAATATTTTGTTACAGCAGTCCAAACCAAGATAAAAAGAAAGACGTAACTCCTATAGGCACTAGATGGAACAGTATTTTATCCACATAGAGAAGAGACAGAGCAAGATCAGTTTAAATAGCAGGTGTCAGTAACCCACGGCCCGCAGGTCTCATCTCGCAGCAAGGGCAGGGTGATGGTCTTCACAAACCCTCTTGTGCTACAGAGATGTCTGCTCTCACCACTCTTATTCAATACAGTATTGAATGGTCTAGCCAGTGTAGTAGGCAAGAAAATTGAATAAAAGACATAAAGATCAGAAATAAAGACATAAAACTATCCCTATTAGTAGATTACATTACGCCTACATAGAAAATCCCAAGAAATTGACAATAAAAATGCCTAAAACTAATAAATGACTTCCATAAGTTTGCTGAGTACTAAGTCAACAACAAAAAATAATTTTATTTCTATATACTAGCAATAAATACGTGAACATTAAAATTATAATTGTTTGTAATATTAAATAGGTATATTTTTAACAAAAATTATGCCATACTTACATGCTGATAACTACAAAATGCTGTAAAATAAATCAAAGATGACCTAAATAAACTAAGAGACATACCGTGTTACCGTGTTCATGGATTAGAAGAGTTAGTATAGCAGCAATTCCAATTCCTCCCAAATGGATTTTTCATGGCTTGTAGGGAGGGGTAGGCATAGAACAAAGGAACAGAATAGAGAACTCAGAAATTGATTACAAAATTCTGCCCAACTTATTTCTTTAAAATGTGCAAAAGCAATTGAATAGAGGAAAGATAGTATTCTCAACAAATAGTGCTAGAGCAATTTAACACCCATTACAATAAACTTTAACTCAAATTGGATCATCTACTTAAATATAAAACATAAAACTATAAAACACTTAGACAAAAATAGGATAATATCTGGGGGATGTAGACTTAGCAAACAGTTCTTAAACTTGAAAACAAAAGCATGTTTCATAAGAGAAAAACATGATTAACTGAACTCTATTAAAAAAAAAAAATGGCCGGGCGCAGTGGCTCATGCCTATAATCCCAGCACTTTGGGAAGCCAAGGCAGGCAGATCACTTGAGGTCAGGAGTTTGAGACCAGCCTGGTAACATGGTGAAACCTCGCCTCTACTAAAAATACAAAAACTAGCCGGGCGTGGTAGCATTTGTCTGGAATCCCAGCTACTCGGGAGGCTGAGGCGGTAGAATTGCTTGAACCCGGGAAGCAGAGGTTGCAGAGAGCAGAGATCTCACCACTGCACTCCAGCCTGGGCAACACAGTGAGACCCTGTCTCAAAAAATAATAATAATAAATTTTAAAAAAACAACTTTTGCTCCATGAAGAACCTCATTAAGAAGATAAATAGACAAGCTACAGGGTGAAAGAAAATATTTACAAACCCTATATGCAACAAATTACTAAGATGTAGACTATATAAAGGATTCATAAAACTTAATAGTAAGCAAAAATCCAATTATGGAATGAACAAAAAACACAAAGAAGTAACTTCTCAAAAAGAATATATAGATGACAAATAAGCTTATAAAAACATGTTTAACATCGTTAGCCATTAGGAAAACGCAAATTAAAATCACAATGAGATATTACTATATATTTCTCGGAATGGCCTAAAAAAAGTAAAATATCAAATGCTGGCAAAGATATGGACAAACTAGATCACACGTACATTGATAATGGGAATGTAAAATTATACAGGCATTCTGGAAAATACTTTGATAGTTTATTTAAAAAAGTAAGTGTACAACTACTTTATGCCCCATTATTTGTACCTTTAGAAATTTATCTCACATAAATGAAAATATGTTAATACGAAAACATGTGCATGAATATTTATAGCAACTTTATTCACAATATCTCCAAAAAAGACACAACTCTGATGTTCTTCAATGGTTGAATGTTTAAATAAACTATGACATATGTCTAGCATGGAATACTGCTCAGCAAGAAAAAGGAATGCATTATTGTCATGCACAACAATCTGGATGGATCTTAAGAGAATTATGCTGACTGTAAAAAGCCAACCCAAAAATGTCACATAAGGTATAATTTCACTTTTATCGAATTATTGAAATGTCACAGTTATAAAAATGAAAAAAAGATTAATGATTGCCAGAAATTAAGGAAGGGTTGGGGGCATGAGGGAAGCAGGTGTGTTTATAAAAAGACAACATGAGAGAGACTATTTGTTGGAAATAGTCTGTATCTTCACAGAATCAATGTAAATATCTTGGTTGTTACATTTTACCGTAATGTTGGAAGGTGTTACCATTGAAAGAAACTGGGTAAAACTGGATAAATGAAATCTCTCTGTATTATTTCTTACAAATACATGTGAATCTACAATGATCTCAAAATAAAAATTTTAATTAAAAAATGATGTATTTTGACAGCTCCCTGCCAGTCTGAGTCAAGTAACACTGAACTAGGAGGTATGATTAATTATGTTATTTAATTCTCATAACAATATGTAGGTAATTAGTATTTTTCCCTTTCATGATGACTACACTGGTGCCCTGAAAAATTGGATAATTTTTCTAAGGTCACATTTTTATTTTAAGGAATATTTTTTAAAACCTAAGGTAAGTAGGTAAAAGTCATTGCCAATATTAAATCAGAATCTTCTGATGTCAGATGCAATGCTTCCTCTCCTTACACACATTCCTTTCTCATATTCTATTATTTATTATTTGAAGTGGTTAGTAGAGAGCAAATCTTTTATTCTATTAATATTCATATAGCATCTTATACATTTTAAACCTCTGAGTTAAGAACAGTAGGTATTATAATCCCAATTTGAAAGCTGAAAGGACTGATGAGTAATTCTAGCTAGCTTCTGGCATCCTGAGTTCTAGCACTATACTCTTCCATTGTAACATCAGCAGGTGACATGATTTGGCTGTGTCCTCACACAAATCTCACCTTGAATTGTAATAATCTCCACGTGTCAAGGGCGGGGCCAGGTGGATATAATTGAGTCATGGGGGCAGTTTCACCCATATTGTTCTCATGGTAGTGAATAAGTCTCACAAGATCTGATGGTTTTATAAATGAGAGTTCCCGTGCACAAGCTCTCCTACCTGCTGCCATGTAAGATGTGACTTTGCTCCTCATTCACCTTCTGCCATGATTGTGAGGCCTCCCTGGCCATATGAAACTGTGAGTCAATTAAACCTCTTTCCTTTATAAATTACCCAGTCTCTGGCATGTCTTCATTAGTAGTGTGAGAACAGACTAATACAGCAGGGAAGGCAGAACACGTCCAATCACTCCCAGGGTACAGTAGTGAACATTTTTACTAACATAATTCTTGTGTTTGGTCTTAATTTTTTTCTTCTTTTGTGTATTTTAAATAGTAAATTCTTCAAGTTCTAATAGACTGAGCCAATGTTACTATGTGTCCCTGGTCTGCAGTGTGGAACAAAGCCATCTTGCCTACTCTGCTGAGAAAGTATATCCTGAATCTATGCAGCTTGCTCTTTCTCTCAGCTAGACCTTAGGTAAAGTCACCATTTTCTATTTCCTTTAATCCTACAACAAACTCCTAGTTGGTTTTCCCACATCTGGTTTTGTGTTCTTTATTTTCTTCTTCATCCTCAGATTGCTAATCTTTTAAAAAGACAAGCTGAATCTTCTCATTCTTTTGCTCTGTGGTATATCTTAACATTGTTCAAAATATTTTCTGTCTTTCTCTACTAGATATGGAGTAGAGACCCAATGGTGCCATAATAGACATTTAATATGAGCAAAAAAAAAAGATGTTTGTTTTTTAAAAACCAAAAAACATTGTTTTTACAACCACTTTGGGATTCATTTCTTATTACAGCAGACACTTGCTTGTGCTTTCTGATCTGACTGACATATGTGCCACATTCTCTGACAACTTTTTTTGTATCTGCGATTGAGTCCAAAATACCTAGCCTTCCAAACACTACATAAACTAGCCTCTGCAAACTCCACCAATCTTACTTCTCATCACATTTCTTACCCTAAATATTCTCAAAATGCATGGAACAGATGTTTACACTGTTTTCTCCTTCATACACTCGCCATTATGCTGCATTGTGTCTACAATATTCCTTACCTCACTATGAGTCAAAATTATTCCTATTAATTCTTTAGGGGTTGGCTTAAATATCTTTTTCTCAGAAAAGTGTTTCATGACTACCTGCAATCTAGCATAAGCCTTTCTTTTACACAATCACAATTCCCTGTTGTTGAGAGTTGTCTTCAAATCATATTTATTCTACAAAATTTCTCCTACAAAATAAGTGTAATCAGAAAATTGTGAGGCAGTCATGTTGCTATTGTTGTTATTCTAAAGAGAAATGAGGCAACAGATTGTGATGAGAACATGATTAAGATTCCATCTCATATTTATTTGATTGTATTTCTGAGAAAATATGGCTTTTGGGTTAAGAGATTATATATTGTGTATTTGGAACCCAATGAATAAATATTAAATACAATATACTGAAGCACTAATAATTCATTAAGTTTTGAAAATTGAACATTGGATTTCTATAAATAATAACATTTGATCTTAGTGCAGTAACAATGTGATGAGATCCGTAATCCAGAACCTATACTTCAATAAGAAAGAGGTGGGATCAAGGTTAATCAAGTCATGGAATTTTGGACCTCAGAATATGTAGATTCTAGTAAGGGAAGAGCCAAAGAAACACTCAATTTATAGTTATTAAATTTATGTTTGTTTAATTACCATAATCTGTCTTCCCCACTGGACTCAAACTCCATAAAGACTAGAGCTATGGTTGTATTATAACATTCACTGTGCCAAGGACTGTACCTGACATACAGCAGAAGTTTAACAGTATGACAGTAAATACTTCTTTTTGCAGAAATATACTGTCCATCTGAATTATCAATTGCAATTGAATAGTGGTAACTTATTTCTACAAAATGTGAATACGTAATAACAATTTATCCTATGGCTACCCAAAATAACAGGGTGCTTGATATTTGTTTAGGTAGGTACATTCTCCAGATATGTTTACAAGGGTTATTCTCTATGTTGAAATCTGGTTTGGGCCAACAATAGCTACTACTTATTGCTTACTTATGATGTGTTAGACACTATTCAAAAGCAATACCTTCTTTATATTATTTAATCTGTATAATGATCCTGTGACATATATATTTTTTGACAGACAAAAAAGAATCTGATATTCAGATAAACTAAGTGATTTGCCCAAAGTCACATAGGTAGAAAGTAGCTCAGATTGAATTGAAACTCAGCCCTAAAAAACCCAGGTTCCTAAGACCTATGATTCTGCTTCCTCATAGTTCCATGACCAACCTCTTTGAATCTGATATAGATGACCAACTCTGCTCATTTTGGAAGGTTACAGGTTGCTTATAGTTACTTTCCTCCTTCAATACTAAATTCAAAGACAAGATTATATCTGCTTTTTATTTTAATTTAACTACACAATGATAAAAACAGAAACTTAATGATCTTGAAAATGCTAATATTTCACGATAAGGAGTCTGTATGGACACTTTAGTTGATACCTTAATTGATGGTTTTATCTAGTGTGAATATGAAACAGCAGATTTCATTATGTAAACTGCCCTCTTCTGTAAAACTTGGCAGGGTCAATAATCTCTGGGATTCTAGGTTTCAAAGAGAACTAAACAATGGGAATTTGATAAGTGAATTGCACCATTATCGCTGAGAAGCTCACATTTTATTAGGTCTTTTTGCATGTTAAAAATTCCACATGGGACATTTTTAAAAGGGTAACACAATGTGCCTTAGGATCACTCAATAAATGAAAAACAGACTAAATAGAGTGAATAGAAACCCCAAGTCACAATGGTACTCTCTACTCCCTTCTCCTGGGAATCCTATCTAATTTTAGAGAAAGTCTCAAGTACTATGTCAGTAATGCCAGCTTTGATCTGAGGTTTATTTTAAAGCATCACTTCCCAAAATATTATTCAGAAAACCAATGCCCTAGTTCTATTGTCTGTCCAAGGACAAACAAGACCCTTCCAGAAGTGCTACTCTACAAATAAGCAATCTACAGAATGGTATGTCATTGATGCTAGTATTAACAGGAGTGGGCAAAAGGTGGAAATATTTAATGATGCCACCCCTCTTGTTCCTGGAAATCAGGGGAATAATATTTAAGGACACTTTCAAAAGCCATTTAATTAAGTAATTATATCATCTAATCCCAACTGCTTTTATTGAAAATATATCACCTTCATAATAACTATCATTTATAAACTATATACTGTGTGTCAGACATTGTATTTTGCACTTCAATTTTGATTTCATTTCATCTTCACAGTAACCATATAAGGTAGGTATAATTAAGTTCATTTTACAGTTGAGGAAACTGATGGTTTTAAAGATATTAAGTTACTTGTCTAACGTCACCCTCTTGGCAAATAATACACCCAGAAGTTGAAATAAGAATTTTCTATTTTGAACTCTAAATTGCTTTCTACCTAGTACTTATGATGTGCAAAAGCTTACCGGACACACAAATGACTGCTCCCGAATTGAAAGGTAACCAAAACTCCTGCAGTGCTAGTTGAGCATGCTGATTCCTAGGGTACATCCTGAGAGTTTCTCATACAGTAGGTCTGAGTGGGGCCTTGAAACAAGTATTTTTAGAATGCATCCCAGGGGTTTCTGATCAGCCAATTGGAGTAATTTCCAGGGTGCAAAGGGAAATATAATTAGATTCTACCATGTAGGTGATTTGATTGTAGAAAAGAATATTAACTACTGTTGATAGAAACATATATTTTGAACATATTTTGCCTCTATAATTATACTAATCAGTACTGGACACTTAGTAGACTTTCTTAAATGATCAGGAGAACAAATGCATTTTTTCCCTTGACAGTTATTCTTTGTGTTTTTCAAGACAAAACAGATGTAAAGTTGTTCCAAATTAGCATTTGAATACTCTTCGTACACATTTAAAACACCAAAATATTCACATTCTCTGTGTAAATCTTAAGCTATTGGCCATGTGTTGAACAGCCATATCTAATGCCACCATTCCCGTGATATAATTGTAATAGTAAATGCTCTCATAGGGTCAAATGGAAATGATTTTATGATTTTCTTTCATGTATTTATTTATTCATTTACCTTTGTTTACTCCATGTCTGTCTATTATCTGCAATGAATACCCTAAAGCAATTTGTTATTCCCATGTTTTTTATGAAAGTAGTATCTAATACTTATTTAAAGTTCTTGTAGGTCAGTCACCGGTTATAAGCACTTTAAATATATTAAACACATTTTATACTCAAAACATTTCTCTGCAGTAGCTCCTGTTATGATTCCATAATAATATTTTATAAGTGGGGAAAATGAGTCACAGAGCCACTAAGTGATATCTTGCTGCAGTAAAAAAAAATTACAGTATCTACATATGCAAGATAAACAATGAAGCATCTTATTGTCAACCTGGGAATATTAATTTTCTAGTTTCTCCAGCACTGGATTTCAGCCAAACAAATTACTTGCTTTTCAAGCTGCAATACAACTCTGTGGATCTTAGCTCCAATAAAGCAGTGGTTCAATTTTCTACAGTATTTACTTATTGAAATGGACATTGTGTAAGGTTTTGTTTTTGAAGGGAAGTAGGCAACACTTAGTATCTACGGTGAATCAAGCCAAATTGGTAACAGTCATAGAATCCAAATATTCTCAGTGAAATTGACTTCTCTTCAAGGTATTTACATTATATTATTCATATTGTTTTCCTTGTGGAATTGTATGCACAATAGGTATGCATGTAGACGGGGTGTATGAATGACAATTTTTGTTTTATGGCTAACATTTGTAGAGTAGTTACTATATGGTAGACATTGGGCAAAATGTTTACCCTGGATTATCCCAATTAATCTTTGCAACTGTTTTGATAAGTAATTTCTTCACTTATTTCAATTTCAAAGGTTATAAGAAAGGTTTTAGAGGTGTATGTATGCCTTAGGTCTAGTAAAACATATAATTGGTATTTGAATATATACTTCTGGCTTCAGAGACTGCCTTCATAACCGTAACACTCAAACTGAAACCCATATAAATTCAAATATTGACTATTGGTAGTTGTTGGGTGACTACCTCACCCAGCTAAAAATCAACTACAGCAACTATAGGATAGGGAGATCTGCGTTTATACTAGTTTAGGTGAAAACATAATAGGTGAAAATTTTAGCTGACCACAAGGAAGAAGTCCCAGTTCTAGGAAACAGAGTCTCATTAGCTTGGTTGTAGTAGAGGAAATCTAGAATTTTTTTGGAGTAAAGAAATCCTTTGAGCTGGGTAGACAAAATTTTACCAGATTGAATGGTAAATATATGGAGGGGAAACCAGCTGTGGTATAACTGGGGATGGTTCATAGGTGGGCAAGCAGCCTGGGAAGGGAGATTGGCTCCTGCACATTAGGAAGGGCCCAGAGAGACTTGCCAAAGAGTTTGGATTTTATTCTGTAGATGGTGAAATTTATTTCAAGGAAGGAGTTATCACTGTCAGGTATACACATTAGACGTGATTGGGGCAGTAGTGATAGAGCCAGAAGGGAATCATCGTGGAGCTGAGGTGACAGACCTGCTAAGACAGAGACCTGCAATTGAAAATGGAGACAATGATGAGAACCAAGGAAAGGTCCTTTTGATAGGCTAGGAATTGAGCAAATTGTGGAGTCTTCATACAAGGCATTGAACACAGAATGAGGAGGAACGGGTTTTGGGGAAATTATTTTGATTTTCTATTAGATAATTTGAGGTGCTTGGAGGACTTTGGTAAGAAATGTCAGTTGGCAGTACAGAGTGCAAGGGATTAGCAGGAGTGAACAGATTTGGACAGTGGAGGAAAGCTCCTGAGACGTGGGTATGAGTGTTTCAAGCCCAGATGTCTGAGAAGCAGCATCCAAACTCTGCTTTGCCCTGTCTAGATTAAAGTTGGATTAAATATTCAGTTCCATTTGTCACCTTTTAGAAGAGACGTTAGAAAATCTTCTGATAAGGAACCTGGATTCTACCTTACCTGACATACCCTTGGTTTGAAAAAAAAGAATGCAAAGAGGAAATGATAAATATCTTCAAGTTTTGGCACGGCTTCAGAAAACAGAAATCAAGGAAGAAAACATTCAGTTCAAAGTCAGTGGTTTCCCATTCACTAGAGGTCTGTACAGGGAGCTGTGGCCTGAGAAACTAAATGAAATAGCCACACTGGCTTTGTGCTGTGGAACAGAAGTGAAAAGAAAAAAACAAAATAAACCCAATAAACATTTGGGTGTGAGGAATACAGCTACCACCAGAGGGCAGCCACTCCTTGAGAGGTTCAGCCGGCCAAACAAAGCAGTTATATTTGAGGGTTTTATAACAGAGTTCATGGTTATCAGGGAAATGCACACTGTGGTCACCAATCACCAGCACATGTGGACATAGCCAGGCAAGTCAGAATTCCAAAGGTAATGTTACTAGTCAGACCTGCAGCTTTCTAAGCAGGCAGGTGATTTGTTCTGTTTACCTGGCCATTCAGAATTAACCAGGTCACAATTTTTCTACATAGAAAATTGGCTTTTTTTCTTTCCTTTCTCTAATAAGGGAATCCTTCCACTCTTTCCAGAACAGCATGTACTTTGATGGGCCAGATTTTGGTAGCAGCATCCTTTGTATCTGAAGAGGCTGTTGTGATCTTAGTCACAGACAATCTATGCAGTTATGAAAATATTAAACAGTAAAGGTGGAGTCTAAAAGTATAATGCAGACTCTAACAATACAGAGATGTCTGTGGATTTTAGTAACAGCTCATCTTTTTAGAATGTAAAAGATGATAATGAGGGTTTTCTTTTTCAATCACCCTATAACAATGCTGCAAGCTACGCCATATTACTTTCTTTAACAAATGATTAATCCAAACCTCTGTGAATATCTATTATATCCAAGTTATAACAACCAGAAAATAGCAGGACTGCGATTGACCCAAATATGTTTTGTTCGAAAGTCTCTGTTTTTTTTTTTTTTTTTTTTTTTGTCTCCCAAACCAAAACCTCTCTCCTACACTGAAAACTCCTTTCAAGAACCTCAGGGGGAAGCATGATAAAGGTACAAAAAGGTATCCAAGAGGCCGGGCGCGGTGGCTCACGCTGTAATCCCAGCACTTTGGAAGGCCGAGGCATGCGGATCAGCAGGTCAGGAGATCGAGACCATCCTGGCTAATATGGTGAAACCCCGTCTCTACTAAAAATACAAAAAAATTAGCTGGGCATGGTGGCGGGCGCCTGTAGTCCCAGCTACTAGGGAGGCTGAGGCAGGAGAATGGCATGAACCCGGGAGGCGGAGCTTGCACTGAGCCGAGGTCGCGCCACTGCACTCCAGCCTGGGCGACAGAGTGAGACTCCGTCTCAAAAATAAATAAATAAAGTATCCAAGAAAGCATTTGTGGTGTCTGCATGTTCTCCAGCGTCAGCGCCAGAGCAATGAAAATCCCTCTCTGCAGGGGGACAGCAGCAAGTCTCTAACCTTTTAGTGGAAGGAACGTGTCCTGGGACAGATGTTTGGGTGCTGCCCTTGCTTCACTTTAATCTGTTTGGAAATCAAACCACATGTTTTCCCAGCTATTTTGCATATGATTTTTGGTAAATCTCATTATCTTCAGCGAGCAAAAGGAGTTATCTGGAAGTTAGTACTAAAGAGCATCAAATGAAGGAGAAAATAGATTAAGTGCTCCTCATATTGTTAGAGGAGAGAAGAGTGAGTAGAAGCTATCCTCTGACCTAAACTGACTTGGAAACCTGCTCCCTGCCTTACCATTCCAGAAAATTCAAGCGGGAAATAGAGACAGTATGCATCCTCTTCGACATTTTGAGAGGGGAAATTGCACTGGAGTCAGGAGATGAGCGAGAGTTCCTTATTCTTCAATTTTGGAAACTAATCTTTAGTAATAATAATAATGATCCCCGAAATTGTAGGCACCATCTCATAGTTAAACACAAAGATCATATGCTTTCTCCAATATTGAACTAATGCTAAAGACATGATACTCTCGATTGAACAGCAGCAACAACAGGAAAATAGCCGTGTTTTGAGATTCTCCCTTTCCCACTCTTTTGGGTGCCCCTGCTTGGTGCTGTTTCGGTACATCAAGCACAACAGCATATGCAGCACTTTGCTTGGTATAAATGTTTCGGAAGCTGGTGTTGCTAAGCTGTGGCTAATTTCAAATGCAAAAAGAAAAAAAATACTTCTCTTGGAAAATATGCTTGCTACAACCTTCATTCCTCCTTCAACTATTTGTGTAGTTCCTAAGTGGAATAAGTTCGGTTTATGCAAAGCTGAAGGGAAAGGGAAAGGAAACAAATATTTAAGAGCATATTGCTATTTATTCTCTCTGTATCTTCAAACAGTCAAATATTTACTCATAAAAGATGCTGAAAAAGGTCATCCAATCAAGGTCATGAGATTTTTTGAGTTAATAATTTCGATCATATCTTTTTTCAGAGTCTGCATTTCTGAAAAGTAAAGGTACTTATTCTTAATCTCTATATGTATGGCTATTTTGTGTTTCTTTTATATCTTCCATAATATTATAAACTAGTTTACACATAACAGTCACAGACTGTGTGTCTTTTCTGTTAGGCACAATCGTGGCTGTCAGGTTCCAATTGATCAAGTTTTCACTTAGAATCCCAAACCCAAACAGAATTGCAGTTTTTGTTCACGATTAGAAGTTTATGGTATTTTTGACCCTTTAATTTGATTCATAATATTTGTATTCTATCACTGCTATAACAAATTTCAACAAATATAGTGACTTAAAACAATACAAATTTGTTGTCTTACACTGCCTGCAGATCAGAAGTCCTAAAATCAAGGTGTTAGCAGGATTGTGTTTCCTTCTGTAGGCTCTGGGACTGTAGGAGAGAATCTTATTCCCTGTCTTTTCCAGCTTCTAGAAGCTGCCTGCATTCCTTGGCTTACAGGCCCTTCCTCCATCTCCAAAGCCAATAGGACAGCACCTTCCAATCTCTTTTCCTCTCTCTCTCCCTGTCTTCTCTCCTATTCTTCTCTACTTTCCTCATTACATCTCCTTGGACTCTGACTCTCCTGCCTTCCTCTCATAAGGAAGGGACCCTTGTGATTACACTGGGCTTTCCCAGACAATTCAAGATAATAATCACATCTGTGAAGTCTCTTTTGCCATGTAAACATACACAAATATTAGGGCGTAGGTCTTGGGCTTCTTCATGGAACCATTACTCTGCATACCACACTCAGGCACTTGAACTTATCTCCTAGTTAGAATTTCTTTGTTTTATGCATTCCTAAAGCGTTTTGAAAAAAAAAAGCCAAAAATATTTTTAAAGTATGTAAAAAAAATGACATGAAAATGTTCAGGCTTTTGAGTCTTGTATTAGTCTGTTTTCACGCTGCTGATAAAGACATACCAAAGACTGGGCAATTTACAAAAGAAAGAGGTTTAATGGACTTAAGGTTCTACATGGCTGTCGAGGCCTCACAATCATGGTGGAAGGTGAAAGTGACGTCTCACATGGCAGCAGACAAGAGAAGAGAGCTTGTGTAGGGAAACTCCCCCTTATAAAACCATGAGATTGGCCAGGCACAGTGGCTCACGCCTGTAATCCTAACACTTTGGGAGGCAGAGGCGGGTGGATCACTTGAGGTCAGGAGTTCAAGACCAGCCTGGCCAACATGGTGAAAACATCTCTACTAAAAATACAAAAATTAGCTGGGTGTGGTGACATACACTTGTAATCCCAGCTACTTGGGAGGCTGAGGTATGAGAATCCCATGAACCTGGGAGGTGGAGGTTGCAGTGATCCGAGATTGCGAAACTGCACTCCAGTCTGGGCAATAGGATGAGACTCTGTCTCAAAGAACAAAAAACAAAAAACAACATCAGATCTTGTGAGATTTATTCACTATCACGAGAACAGCAAGGGAAAGACCTGCCCCCATGATTCAATTACTTCCCACTGGGTCCCTCCCACAACATGTGGGAATTCAATATGATATTTGGGTGGGAACACAACCAGACCATATCAGTTCTATATATAGCATTCAGTACTAGTCCTCTGGGTGCCAGGGCAAGTCTAGGAAGTACATTTATTTCTGGCTGTTACAGAAGGAAACTGTTCACTGAGTTTAAATACTCAGTGCAGCACCTGAAGAGTTCAGTTTCTCCAGCTAAAGGTAGTGGCTCCCTGAATTCTACTGGATAGGACTCTGGAGGATATGTTTGTTTTTGTTGTTGAAAACAGTTAAAATTGAAATTCTGTTAGAGTACATATTCTTATTAAAATAGAAAATAAACTTAATATTTTGGATCTTAATGTTTTTCCCAAGGGGAAATCATTACACACAGCTCACACAGCATGAGAGCCATGAGTGTGCCTTGGGCAGACTAAGACTCACTGTGGATCTATTTCCATATTGAATACAAGTTCATTTAAAATGTGTTTATTTGCCTATTTTCCTATCACTGAGTTTTATGGATAAGTAAACTAGGGCTTACCAATGCTAAGGGTATCGAGACATGCTACATGGACTTGGCTTGCAGAAAGATCCAGTGGGGCAAAAGAGCTCCTTTTCATGTTTCTTAAGTTGAGGGAGAGGGTAATGGATCATATTCTGAGCTTAGAGGTTTTGAAACGTTGTATTTCTCAGGCTCACGAAACATGCTTTCTGACATTACTCTCTCCGGCCACCCTTTGTGGAGGAAGAACAAAGTGGTAACCCATTTTGTGTTAAAAGGAAGAGTGAATGCAAAGGCATGGATGAGGGATTCAGATATATTCCTACTAGACCCGTACAACTGCACCCCAATTTCCTCTGCAGATGAAATTGTAGAATAGAAATTATAGCACTGTAGCATAGAGAGCTGAAGTGGGTACATGTTCTCCATCGAAAGGCTGAAAGTATTTTCTGCAAAGTTTTGGATGGTTTATGGAATAGTGGGAATAAGCCACATACATATGCTTTGATATATACACACATATATACTGAAGGTTAGATACATTTCAAAGGATACAATATCTTATCATGAATAAAGTTTTCATGAAGATAGAGGAATAGTGTGAGGAAGGGGTTCTCCTGGGCCCTCTTGTCCCTGATAGAGGCTCATACCTGTGGATAATGCAGTCTTTGAAAGAAAGCATGTCTTGTGATCAAGAAAACTCGATTCTTGCCATGTCATAGTCTTTAAACAATCAGTTTTATAATACCATTCATGATGAATATGCGTTTTATTTGACAGAAGGTTTTAAAAACCTCAAGACTCCCATGTTTGATCCAAATTCAGTGTCAGCTAAAATTAAACAGTTATTCAGGAAGAAAAAAAAATACCCAGTTTTCTCTGGATAATAACTCAGCTTTTTCTCTGACATCTCTTTGCAGTCCACATTTCCACTCTGATTTCAGACCCATTTATCTGGGTGGATTTGACTCTCAGTTTGATCCAAACACTGCTGCCTCAAATCCATTTATCTTCAGCTCACAAAGGATTATGTTTTCTGTGTTTAGCCAACACCACAACGACTCTGTTGGTAGTTGTGGCTTTGCTTTGTAACATCTTTTTGTATTAGTTAACTCTGTGAGCAACATCGTGGAATTAAGATCTTTCAGTGCTTCTAATTGGCAGCAAACCTTTGTTTTTAATTTTATGCTCTAATCATCATAGTTTGACCAGTAGAAGCACTTTCAACCTAGTTCTTGTAGCCATTTTCACACATCTTTAAACATTATCCTTGCTTTCCAATAACAGCAAGCTATTCCAGAACAATCTTGAGTTCTGTTACACTCAGTGCGAACTCAATGACTCCACAAGAATCAGAGCCCTGATTCTCATTAGTGGAGGCTAATTTTGTGTGTAGTAGTCTTGCACATTACAGTGTTTCATGGAAAAGTTGGGAATAGAAGAGAAATGACAACAGAAGAAGAGCAACCTAGAGCACTGAAGTAGTAACAAGAGTCCCCTCTTCCACAAAAAGTTCATTATTTCAATTTTCTTCTTTACTAAGTTTATTTTTACCTCTCTCTAGTAAGAGAGCTTCTTAATCTAAAATTTTCCCTTTCTTTATACACCAGTTTTGATATAACTGTTATATATTATCATACCAAGCCATGTGTGCCTAAAGTGGTCTACTTGAGGTCCATTAATTCCCTTAACCCTGAGTACTTCCCCTACGGTGTAACGCGGGTTGGTAGGTTGTACCAAAATATAAATAGGCCAACCAGGCTTTCAGTTTCCTCCTTGGATCTGTGTAGTGGCCATGATGAGAATTCATTTTTTAAAGCATATTTTATTAAAACACTCCAGGAATACAGAAGTATGTAAGATAATATACAAGTTATCAAAATGCTAAACAGCTCTATAGCCACTCTCGTGTCTAAAAATCGTTACCAAGGACATTGACTCTCCCTTGAGCTATCCCAAGTCGCAATTCCCTACTTCCACCATAGCACTGTTCTGGCCCACCTGTTACCTTGCCTTTATTTTATAATAATTTTTAAAAATGTGCTTTTCCTATAACCATAGTGTTTAATTTTGTCTATTTTAAGATTTTGATGACTGGGGTATATTGAACTCAATCTTCCATGACTTGCTTTTTAAAATTATGATAATTATGATTATATTGATGCCTGTGCTTTATATCATTTTACTGTTGCATGTTATTCTGTAACAATCATGAATTGCTCAACAATGGAAATACACTCTGAGAAATGCACTGTTAGGTGATTTCATCTTTCTAGAGCATACTTACACACACCTAGATGGTGTAGCCTCCTACACCCCTAGCCTATGTGGTATAACATATTGTTCCTAGGCTACAAACCTGTATAGCATGTTACTGTACTGAATACTGTGGGGAATTGTAACACAGTGGTAAGTAGTTGTGTATTTAAATATAGAAAAGGTACAGTAAAAATATGGTATAATGTGTGGGACCACTGTCATACATGCTGTTTTTGACCTAAAAGTCGTTATGGGTCAGATGACTATACTTGAACATGTTGCAATTTATATGCTCTACTAATGAACACTTAGGCAATTTCCTGTTTTGAGATTATAGACACTGCTATGACAAATGTTCTAATATTTGACTCATGATGCAAGAGATGTAAAAGTTTCCACAGGTTATATTCTTGAGTCTTATATATTTACTTCCAAATTTACTGGAAAATCTCAAATTGCTTTCTAAAGTGGTTTTACCAGTTTGTATGTCTATTGGAAATGTGGAAGACTACACATTGGGATATTAGGCACCCTCAGACTTTAATTTTTGCCAATTTTGTGGAGGTTAAACACTATTATATTGTATTTCTAACTTTAATTTCTCTGATACCCAGTGAACTTGAGTAGCTTTTCAAATAAATTTTTGGCCATTCACGTTTCCTACTTTGTGAAATGCTGTTAGCATCTTTTGCCATTTTTTTCCTAATGGGTTGTCTTTTTCTTATTGACAATAATTCATTTTTAACTGCCTGTGGGATGTCTCCAGCAAAGACTGCCGATACTATCTGAATGATCTAAACTCTTTTAAAGACACTGGAATGCAATGCAACCCTACCACTAGGCCCTGCTACTGTCTTTTCTCAGAAGGCCTCCTGTCTCTGTAGTCGAGAAGTCCAGGAAACCCAGGCCCTTCCTCCCATCAGCCTGGGAGGAACTCTTCAGATGTCCTTTATCAGGGATTCAACACTCTCAAAGATCCCAAATTTAAGCCTAAAATCTCTCCTTCCTGACTATCTAGACTTTCTTTTATTTACAATAAAGTGGGGAAACCCTTCTTGTTGGTAGGACCTTGTTTGATTCTCATCCACCCATCTCTCTTGTTGCTTCTTTCACATTAGGAAGGTTTGTTTGGGGTACTGTGACTTCTTCCAGATCAGGATGTGGGGACATGCCTCTAGTTGTGGCCACTTGTGAATCCAGATCTGAGTACAAAGCTGTTCTCACACTCCTCTCCTCTCCTGTTTACCTAGTCCTATGTATTTCCTATGAAGTTCTTCGCGAGCACTCAGGATCGAGCCCTTCATTTTCTCCACCTCAATTCTTTTGTTTCCCCACTAATGTCAGCACTCTGCTAAATTTTCTGATTTCACTAATTAACCTAATAGTTTTACTCCTCCAATACAATAAATATTTACTATGCAAAACTCTAAAATGAACCAAAGGAGAAAGAGAAAAGGACTTCTTAGAGAAATCTGACACATCCCTAGCCATCCATCCCCTTTGTCTCATGTAACTTCAGCTCAGGAATTGTTTTTTTCTTCTCTAAATAAAATGCAGTTCAAAACATAGTAGTTATTCCTTCTTAGTTTTTTTGATTTGGTGAGTTTTTTTTGTTTTAAATTTTTTCTTTGTTTTTGTTTTCTTTTTTTTTTTTCCCCTCACATTTCATGGATCACTCCTGAAACAAAAAGGCTTGTAGTTCTGAATAGTTATACCCTCAGCCAAATACTCTTGGCCAAATACCTATTCACTCATTGAAAAAAATTTGTATTTACAAATGTGTGAATAGAAATTCAGGATTTAAAAAAAGGTGTGTATATACTTATATCAATGAAAATATTTAAGGAAACCCTGAAATAACTGAACATTAATTTTGGTTATCAATATGTTTGTACAAATCAAAAAATACTAAGGCCAGAATTTTCTTCCATTGGAAAGCATGGGTCCACATTTATTGGTAGAATGTAACTTATAGTTAAAAATTTTATATTGGAAAGTCTCCTCCTGGGCCACTCATTAAACAAAGATAAATGGAAACAGATTTGTCCTTAAATTATAACCACCCATGTGACATAAAACCTTGTCATATAGTTAACTTTCTTTGTTTTGTAGTCCCCTGTCCCCACTCTTCTCTTTAACTTAGCCTCTTTCTCCGCAACCTGTCGGTACTCTGCCCCCACATTGCTACATCCATCCAATTTTTTTGTCTGAAAAGTTACCTCCTAACAGTCTAAAGGGGCCTTGAGGGGGTTTTCAGTGCTTCTCCCAATTCCCTTGCATTTTTCAACTCCTTTCAAGATCCTCAACTATTTCCTTTGCCTAAGCGAACTAGGGTAAGAAAAGCCAGGGGATAGGAATTTGGATTGCCCTAATTTCAAACGGTCCGCTGGTAAAGAACAGAGATGTAGCCCTTTGCTATGTGTCTCAGTCCATTTGTACTGCTGTAACAGAATACCTGAGACTGGGTAATTTATCAGGAACAGAAATTTATTTTCTCACATTTCTGGAGGCCGAGAAGTCAAAGATCAAGGCACTGGCAGGTTTGGTTGTCCAGTGAGGGCTGCATCCTCCAGAGGGAAGGAAGGCTGTTTCCTCAAGTGGAGGAAGGTGGAAGGGGGAGTGACCTGAAAGTTTTTGTGGGAAACCTTTTTTATGGAGGCCTGAATCACATTGACGAGGGAGGAGACTTCATGACCTAGTGACCCCTTAGAGGCCCCACTTCTTAATACCATCAATTGGCAACATCTGAATTTTGGACAGAACACATTCAAACCATAGCAGTATGTCTCCCTTCAGGAGCAACTACCCAAAGTTTTCTTGCTCTGTGCCACTGAGTCTCCACTTGAATGTTTTTACCACATGGTTTCTTCCTGCAATTTGCTGATTCCCTCCTGATCCCAATTTAAATTGCTTTAGTGGACTTTGCTTTAGTTCTACAATCATGAACATTGAGGACTCTCAGTGGTTTAGTTAAGAGCAGGAGTGGATCTGGATTATCTCAAAATGCCTTTTGCTTGCCCCTTGATTCCAAAAGGAATTCAAAACATCTGGGGACATCAACTAAAAAGTCTCTCTAGATTTAGATAGGCAGCTCTTCCTTGTTCTTTTTATACTTGGGGCTTGCAAAGGCATCCCAAAAGAACATAGTAATTCTATGATGTTTAATTTGAAGACATATTAACAAACATTGGTCTCTCCAGTTTTCTGCATCAAATAAATAGGACTGTGTCCTCATCTGGAACAAGTAAAAAGAGATGGAAACTAGGAGTGCCTGGATAATTTCTGCATCCTGTTTTTCAGCTTTTTGGATGGCCCATTTTTCTATAACCTAATTCTTACTAGGTATCTTTATACCTGATTTGTTCTGAATTGAATTTGGTCTTATAACTATGGACACACATAAAATACATTTTCATATGTTTCTTTGGCGACTTCAATGGGCATATCATTTCTTAAGTGCATAATAGTAGCTCATATTTACTGAGTGCATATGATGTGCCCTGCTTGGGAGAAGTGCTCTGTGGGTGCTATTTCAGTAAGAAACTTAAGCACAGGTATAAAATGGTAGAGCCAAAATTAAGTCCAGGTGAGTTTGATGCTTGGACCCTAGCTCTTTACTACCATTCTCCACTGGATACATTTGATCACAGACAGGCTATTGTAACTTCCTCGGAGAGATGGACTTTGCCTCATGCAGGGAATCCCTGATTTAAATGCTTCACATCTTGACCCCCTGTTTACCAGTAGCACCTAGGAAGTCATGAGCTACCTGTATTTCGGTTGCCTTTATATCTTCACGGCCTCCTTATATACAGGAGTTCACAGCAAGTTCAGATATTCACATTGGCTAAGTCATGATTTATCTTTAACACGGATTTAAGACATTGTCTTATAAAAGTACACAGCTTTTCACATAATAGGAGCTTCTAACTTATTTGCTGAATGAAAGATACCTTGACTTAATCCAGAATTTAAATAATTTCTTGAAATAATCACATTAGATTTTGGCCTCTCATCATTGTTCAGTTTACCTGTCTGCTTTGCTTCGCTGATTACTAAAAGCAGGAAAATAACTGAGAAGGCAGCTTTTTTTTTTAATAAAAGAAATGAAGAAAAACAAAAACATGATAAATGGAGGCAGAGGGAATTGGTGCACAGACCCATATCCATGGAAGGCAGAAGATCTGATTGACAACAGAAAATTAGTGAGCTGTAGAAATGTGAAACTTAGAGGCATTCTAGAAAGGAGAGAGAGAGACTAGAAAATAAAATAGCAGCAACACAGGGAAGAAAAATGATCATGTCAGCAGCAGAGAGAGCCAAAATGAACAGTTAATGAAAGAATTTCTAAGTGAAGGACTTGGGGCATCATACACACAGAGATAAATAGCATCAGGGAGAGGTCCCACCCACGGCTGATCGGATTCAAATGGCTGGATCCTTTAGTCTGGATTTTACATGAGAGACCAAGCACAACGCTGGGCATTAGCTCTCATTTTAGGTCTCACTAAGGATATTAGGGTTGACTTATAGCATCAGGGATGTTTTCAGATTAATAATGTTATATATTTATTTCTATTTTTTTTTACCTCAAACTCCAATTTAGGGCTTAGATAACATTTTAGACAATATATTTTATGTCAGAGACCACTGGCCCATAAAAAACAATTATCCACATTGTAAAATAGAATTATTTTTTCCATAAGATAATAGAATTTTCATATATACACACCTTTTAAATTAAGTAGAGTGCATAGTTATGTATTCATTTTCAGAAAAATATGCATGTTATGCATATGCCCACAGTAACACACACACACATATGCACACACACACAAAATCTTCACTTCTATTATTGGCTTTAGAGAAGAAAATAAGTCTTAAGGAGAAGTGGAAAGAGAAATAGGCAAAGGTGAGGGATATGGAAGTGGAATAGATACACATAGCCTGAAAGGAAACAGACAGCCTAAGGCCCTGGTGTCTTTCTGAGAAATTTCAGTAATGTGGCTCATTTTGATGTTTCAGCCTTGTATCTTCCAAACTACAATGTACACTGCTCTTAGAATCATCTTTGCACAAATCTGATTATATAATTTTCTTGCCTCATTACTTGTGATGATTTCTTATATTCTCTTGAATGAAGTAAAAGTTTCTTAGTTTGACGTTTTTCTCACAACCTACTTTTCTCTTTTTATTGGCCTTAAACATCACTACACACATTCTACCCTGCAGCTACTTTGAACCACTTTCCATTTCTTTCAAGTGTGCTACTTCTTCTGTGTGTGTTCTTTTTCTTCTCTTTTTCTTGCACACAGTTATGCGTGAGCATAATGAGTAAAATGGTTCTATGTCATTTCTTGGAGGGAAGCAAAGTTCTCTGCCTTTTCCCCTGCTCCCATTCCAAAGACAACTAATTTCACCTCTATTGAGTAATTATTTTGGCATTGATCTAAATTTCTAAATAAAAGCTTACATTGCAGCATTTTTATTTTTCAGCCTGAATTATTAATAGCTGACCTCCTTTTTAATGTAAGAATTTGGATATTTTTAGTTCTCCAATTGCTATTTCCACCATGCATGAATGGTACTTCTATCCCCCAACATTGTGATATTGTTATATGGAATTTTTATAAGACTGCTGTTCAGTATTTGCATTATTATGTTGTAAACACTGCTTACAACTGATCCGGTCAATAAACTATAATTACTTTTCCCTCCTAGAAACCTTTTTATTTTACTGGGAACTAATAATTTTCATATCTTTACGTACTCATCAGTAACCAACTTTTTAAAAATTTCCTGAATCTCCTCTAAAGACATTTAGTTATTTCACATATTCTGTCCATTTCATCTTCCTGAAGCAGTACTCCTTCTAGTCAGATTTGACTGCCCTCTGTTCTTGGAGCACAGCTGTTGTGTGAGCCCCTCCTTTCACATATATTCAAGGATTCCCTTCACTGCTATCCACGTTTGATTTCCTGTTTCTTGTTATCTCATATCTCTCTTTTTCTTAGTTTATATCCTCATCTTGATGGAGCACATCCTTCAGTATTTCCTCGGAATGCATGCATGGGAGGTCACTTCTTTGAAAACCTGTGTGTTTGAAATTATTTTTATCTCATCCCGACTCTTACTGAAAGTTTGGAAAGGTATAGAATTCTATGTTGAAAATCATTTTTTTTTGAGATTTTCAAAGACATTTGTGCCGCTGAAAATGACTAGAGTAACACAAACAATGCAACTGAGTAGTCTTACTTTAAATTCATGGCCAAAAACTTCAGATGAGCAGAGGATCACACTCTATTTCTGTAGTCTATTTATTTTCCCACTCTCCTAGAAGCTTATTTCACGTTCTTCCTTTCTCTTCAAATATCAATTTTCCCTGTCTTCTTACTTTCAGCTGATAGTCTTAATGACAATTTCACTGAGACAACTAAAACATTCAGCAGAGATCCCCAGATTCATACAACTACATCTATCCATCTACTAGCATCTGATCCAACAACTGGGCCTTCCTTCCTGGTCCCACAGATGTACTGATAAACCATCCATGCTCTGCTCTAAAACCTATTCCTTCACTTGAGCACCAGAAATTACTTTCGCATTTCTACAGCTCACTAATTTTCTGTTGTCAATCAGACCTTCTGCCTTCCATGGATATGGGTCTGTGTACCAATTCCCTCTGCCCCATTTATCCATGGAAAACAATTCCATTTATAATAGGTACACAAAATAAAATACTTAGGAATAAATTTAACCAAGGAGATGAAAAATACAGGTCTTAGAAATTACAGAACTTTGAGAAAAGAAATTACAGAATATACAAGGAAATGAAAAAATACTCTGTGTTCATGGGTTGGAATAATTCATATTGTTAAAATGTCTGTACTTCCCAACTTGATCTACAGATTCAATACAATCTGCATCAAAATTCCAATGCCATTTTTTTTTTACAGAAATAGGAAAAACAATCCCAAAAGTCATAATGGAACCACACAAATGTACACACACACACACAAAAAAAACCGTAAACAGCCAAGGCAATTCTGAGCAAAAAGAACAAAACTGGAAGCATCAAACTACAAACTACCTGACTTTAAATTATAAATACTTCCCAACTTGGATATTTTGACTTATGATTTTTACAGTTTACACTGGGTTTATTGGGACATAACCCTATTGTAAGTCGGGGATCATCTGTATATTACAAACCTACAATAATTAAAATAGCATAATACTGGCATAAAAATAGATATATCAATGAATGGAACACGATAGAGAGCCCCTAAATGAACCCATACATTTATAGTCAATTGCTTTTGACAAAGCTGTCAAAAACATACAATGGGGAAAGGCTTGGGAAAACTGGATATTCAGTGCAGAAGAACAAAATTGGACCCTTATCTCACACCATGAACAAAAATCAACTCAAAATAAAGACTTGAATGTAGGGCCTGAAACTATAAAAGTAATAGAAAAAACATAAGGCAAAACTTATATAACATCGGTCTCCGCAATGATTATGTTTTTATATTTGACTCCAAAATCTCAGGCAACAAAATTGAGAATGTCTTGAATTGTTTTCCCTCTTTCTTCTACATCAAATTTTCCCTTTCAAAAGAATCAAGCCAATCAGCATAGAACCATGCTTTTTCTCTCATTTTAGAAAAAGAAAGAACATTTCTCTTTATTCTACTACAGCTATAATTTTATTATGTCATCATTTTTAAAACAGTATTTTGGAGCTTTGTTGGTATTATCCTGTTCTAAGTTTGTGGTTGCAATTAAATCTCTTCTCTCTCTGGTATTAATTATAGGGTTCAATTTTCAAATTTTTAAAAATTAACTTATTTTACTGTAAGTGTTCTTCTTCCTGAATAGATTCTATTTTGACAAAGTTGCTTTTATTTTGTTTTTCCTATTTCATTCTCTGACCTTTTTATTTCTTCAGAAGCCTGCTATTCTTTGGTTGAATACTAGTGTTTTAGATTTATGGAGCTAAATTCAAATGTATGAGTGTCACTTGACTATAATATTGCTCTTCCATTTAGTTGGGGAACTTCTAATACCTCTGGCCTGTGGTCTTTTAACTTGAGCAAACCATTTTCTCCAAATAAGACTCTGAATCTCCATTTCAATTAGTTGCCAGTATTCTTGTAGCAAAATGTAAGAACAGGGCTGAGAATCCCAGCATCCATAATGCAGATGTGTATTTAATTTTAGTGTTTTCAGTACACTACACACACTCTCAATTTGATCTGTTAATTCCCCAGTCCAGAAAACATCACATCATTCTTGTCACAATTAGAGAATAGCAATTTGGCAGCTATACAGAGAGGTAGAGGAGATCCAAGAATTTGTTTACTGAAAACTTTCAACTTTCAACAAATCATCATAATTGTAGCTTCTCCCTTCTTTCTGTCTGTCCCCAGGCATCCCAGACAGACTAAAACATCTCAACAAGGTCTGATTTGCTCCCTTGCTCCCTGCAGTTTGAAGGAGGGAACTGGGAAATGGGCTGCTGCCTCCTCAGACCAAGTTCAGGCTGCACAGGGGAGAGGTAGGGCAAGGCAAATAAAAACACCATCAAATTCCTACCTGTTTACAGGTTCGTTTCTTTCTTTCTTTCTTTCTTTCTTTCTTTCTTTCTTTCTTTCTTTCTTTCTTTCTTTCTTTCTTTCTTCTTTCTTTCTTTCTTTCTCTTTCTTTCTTTTTCTTTCTTTCTTTCTTTCTTTCTTTCTTTCTTTCTTTCTTTCTTTCTTTCTTTCTTTCTTTCTTTCTTTCCTTCTTTCTTTCTCTCCCTTCCTTCCTCCCTCCCTCCCTCCCTCCCTCCCTTCCTTCCTTCCTTCCTTCCTTCCTTCCTTCTCTCTCTCTCTCTCTCTGTCTCTCTCTCTCTCTCTTTTTCTCTTGGTTACTGTTAAACTTTAAGGTTATTTCTATGAGATTGATTCAACCATATTCTGATTTCTTTTTCTCTTTCTTTTTTTCTTTTTGCTGTTTCTGTGGTGTAACAAGAGCTTAGAGAACTTTCTACTTCACGATTTTGCTGTTGGCCCATAGAGCCAAATCCTGGTTCCTTTGTAACAGTTTTCAAGTCTCTAACCAAAATATTTTCTTTTAACTCCTTACAAATCTTTACCATAATTATTTTAATGTCTAGGTCTGCTAAATCATTATCTATAGTTCCTGTGGGTTTTCCCTATTGCTTTTTTTCCTTTGATTTCAACCAAGTTTCATCTCTCTAACAGTCTAGTTTTTTTAAATTGAATTCTAGATTGTATACAAAAGTTTTAAATATAATTTGAATTCTAGGGTGTTGTTTCTTTGTACAAGAGGATTTACTTTGCTTACTTTGCTTATGATAGGTAGCTAAATAGGGACAAATCCAGAAATCAAGACAATTCAAATTGGGGCTTAAGTTTTTTTGAGGTCTAATCTATTTCTGATTTCATCCTTAATCATAGACAGAATGTCTTTGGGATTCCAATTAAAGTCCAGATTATTTACCAGTATTCTATTTTTGTTTTTAGTAGGCCTTGAACTTCATTTTATTTCTCTCTAGCCTCAATAATCCTAAACATACTTTCTTACCCTCCCAATAGTCTTTGTGATAATTTGTTAAAAATAAAATGCAAGGCCCATTTCTCTGGTTTTCCTTCCTCCAGGATCATTTCTCTGTAAATTATATCTGATATCTGCAAAGAAACACTTTATTTAACTTTATTAAAATTGTTTATCTTTTTTAATTTTCCCATTGGGGAGATTGGACCTCCACAGAAAATTAAAAGCTAATCTGCCATTGTCTGAAACAGAATTTGTCTGATTTTGAAAGCTTTAGAAAAATGCATTAGAAAGATAACTAGCCACAAACATCTCTAGAATACCCAGAATTTCTAAAGTCCTAGATTATTTTGAAAACTGTAAGCAATTTACTTCCTTATAAGTATATAGATATAATGTGTTTTGAAATGCCTTCTTAATTTATGGATCATGACTATACCACTTTTCTTCTTTATGAAATAATATGGTTCTACTTATCTTTCAGTGTTTTTGCTAGCTACCCCCAGTCACTGAGAAACATTATAAATGTAAGATTTTCATAGCTCTTTTAAGCAAAATATAAATTACATTAGATATTTATATGTAATGGTAATAATTATGTGATCTTTTCATTTAGTTTTTTGTTTAACCAAGGAGTTGGAGAAAAGCCTCACAAATAATGTTGTAGTATGATTTTACTCAACTAAGTTTTATTTTGGGGTCATGTAATTTGGCTTGCATTTTATTTTATTAAAATTCAGCCATTTCTTAAAATAAAAATTATAAAGAAAATGTGGTACAATACACCACGGAATATTATGCATCCATAAAAAGGAACGAGATCATGTCTTTGCAGGGAACTGGAAGCCATTATCCTCAGCAAACTAATGCTGGAACAGAAAACCAAACACTGCATGTTCTCAGTTACAAGTGGTAGCTGAACAAGGAGAACACATGGACACTGGGAGGGGAAGAACACACACTGAGGCCTGTTGTGGGGAGGGAAGGGGTGGGAAGAGAGCATCAGGGAAAATAGCTAATGCATGCTGGGCTTAATACCTAGATGATGGGTTGGTAGGTGCAGCAAATCACCATGGCACACATTTACCTATGTAACAAACCTGCACATCCTGCACATGTACCCCAGAACTTGAAATAAAATAAAATACAAAAATAAAAAAGTAAGGAAGTTTTATTTATATAGCTCTTTATAGATTAGTTGATATTTATTGCAGTGTAAAATGATTCAACATACATTTTTTATGCATGTGGAAAAAGCCAATTGGGTTCTAATTTAGTGACTTTAAACTCTGGCTTTGCACCAAAATTTTGTGTAAATTTGTAATTTTACAGGCCTTATTCCAGGCCTATAACATAAAATTCTCTTAGATGTACTACTGAGGCTTGTTTAGTTTCTAAAACATTGCAGTGTGGGCTTATGTGCAGTCAGAGATGGAGGCCACTGTTGAGTGAGTCTGTTAAGTTCAACTTTATGAGGACAGTGGCCACAGGGGAGAAGGTATGTCTGAGTCACCTGTTTCTACTTCTCTGAACACAGCGTTGTTTCATGAACTAAAGTGAATCATCTAACCTGTGTATTACTAAAACCAGAAGTCCAAGATAGGTATCCTGATTTGAGAACTCCCAATAAGAGTACCCTTTCTTTGGAAAATGTGAACATAAATTTAAAAGAATACACACACACACACACATATACAAACACACAGAGATAGATAGAAGAATCTAGAGCAATGAATAAAAAAAAAAACTACATACAATGTGAAAAGGAACAGGAGGCACACAATGAGATGGGGGTTGGGGAGAGAGAGAGACAAAATGGAAGAGAGAATTTTCGCATAACATAGACAGCTTCAAATACCCACATCATATTGAAGGACACGATAACCAGGTCTGCAGGTCTGCACTTGTGTCAGGAGAGCTGATGTTGTATCATGGGAAGAAGAGAAGCAGTCATCATTTCAAGCCTTATAATGCTTGTGTGCAGCAGCTTGACCAGCTTGGGGCATATATTTTTTTAATATCCTCGTGTATTTTTATGTGACCTGAAATAAACTGGGTATTTCTCTATTTCTTAAAACTTGAAGAACATTAATTAACAGATTTATGAAGGAATATGTCTTAAAATTAGAAAAAAAAAGGGTTATGTGAGAAGAGTGAGGCAACAGATGTGAAAATACCAAAAGGAAGCAATATTTAAATGATATTTTACATCTTAGAGGGAATCCATCTGAATTTAGAAGAGAAACATTTGATATTGCTTTGTAATAAATCACTGGGTCATAGCTTTAATAGGTAAAGTGTAAAGAATGTTTGGAAAAAAAATGAAAAATAGATCTTAGAAGAAAATAGTTATTTGGGGGCAATCCTGGAGTCTGATTTTCCAATGAAAGAATTTTTTCTTTCTATGGGGTGGAAACAGAAGCTTTTTTATTTTCCTCAATTCACAAAAGAGAACCTTTATCAGGACTGCTAGACAGTTTGATATTTTTCTCCTTAGCTAGGGCAAACATGTAAACAGGTATCTTAGACCTACCTGAGAAAGCTAAAGAGATGTACTTGGATTGCTTAGATGTTGACAGATGGGGAGGCTGTATTGGGATGGAGCAGCACTTACAGAGTTCATCAGGGCAAAAATATGGACCAAGGTATGGAAATGAACTAAAGTGGGACTATTTCATTTCCTTCTTAAAAATGCTATCTTGGAGGAAAAAGATCTTCATCTTTTAGATGAACCCTGAAGATATAGCTAGCTTGCTTTGGGGCTACACAAGTAGTTGATGATTTTCCAGCATAGAGATGAATCCAAAGGGACGTAAAAGAGCTAAAAATCCCTTATGATTGGGGTTGCAGAGTGGTAGGGGTGGGTGACTGGTAGGAGATGACGGGGGGTGAGGGGAGGTGGGTAGGGTTGGGTGGGGCTGGTGGGTGGGTAGGGGTGGGTGGTTGGGGGTGGGTGGGGTGGGTGAGAGTTACCTCTTTAAATAACCGAGGAAAGTGTCTCTTGACAGAAAGAGTTAAGCTTAAGTATTTGCCAGGTTCTGAGAGTTTGAAGGCAGCTTATAATACTAAGCTGTTTGCTGTAGGAAGCCTCCAAAGTGGCCCCCAAAGACTCTTGCACAGTGGTATTTTATACCATTGTGTAGGCCCCTCCCACATTAAGTACTCCCGGCTGGTGTAACAATTCGATATCATGGGAATGACAAGGTGTGAATTCTGATGTTAGGTCTTAAAAGACATAACTGCTTCTGCTTTGCTCTCTCTTGGAATATTTGTCAAAAGGACACTTACAGGGCCCTGTGGAAAGATCCCCAGAGTGAGGAATTGAGGCCTCTTGTCACAGCCAGGATCAGTTTGCCAGTCATGTGATAGTTATTTTGGAAGTGAATCTGCTGACCCCATTAGTCTTTTAGGTGATCAAAGGCATACTTGACATTTTGACAGCAACTTAATGTGAGACTCAAGAGAGAAAGACCTAGCTAAGATGCTCCTGAATTCCTGGCCCAGGGAAATGTTGTGAGATAATAAATATCTATCGCTATTTTAAGCTGCTAAGTTTTGGGGTAATTTGTAACATAGCAATAGATCACTGATAAAAATTTTGTACCTGGAAGTAGGAATGCTGCCAAATAAATGTCTGACAATGTGAGAGAGGCTTTGTAGCTTATAAGTGAGCAGAAGTGGGAGTATTAGTGAAAACCTAAAGTGCTGTGACCAGACTGTTAGTAGAAGAATGATGAAACTTGAAAAGTAAGAAAAATGTTATTGGAATCCAGAAGATAGGAAATCTTTTATTTTTTTCTTTTCTTTTTTTTTGAGACAGTCTCACTCTGTCACCCAGGCTGCAGTACAGTGGTGCGATCTTGGCTCACTTCAACTTCTGCCTCCGAGATTCAAGCAATTCTCAACTCCATGCCTCAGCCTCCTGAGTAGCTAGGACTACATGCGTGCACCACCACACCTGGCTAATTTTTGTATTTTTAGTAGAGATGGGGTTTCACCATGTTGGCCAGGCTGGTTTCAAATTCCTGGCCTCAAGTGATCCGCCCTCCTAGGCCTCCCAAAGTGCTGGGATTACAGGTGTGAGCCAGTGCACCTGGCCGGCAATCTTTGATAGTGGCATAGTGGCAGAAAGTATAGCAACACTGTCATCTATGGGAATGTGGAAAAAAAAAAGTACCTAATAGATTGAGTAATCAAACTAAGTTGATTTCTGGGAATTTTTTAAAGATATCTTCTTCTGGCCGGGCTTGGTGGCTCACACCTGTAATCCCAGCACTTTGGGAGGCTGAGGCAGGTAGATCATGAGGTCAGGAGTTCGAGACCAGCGTGGCCAATATGATGAAACCCCATCTCTACTAAAAATACAAAAATTAGCTGGTCATGCTGGTGCACGCCTATAGTCCCAGCTACTCAGGAGGCTGAGGCAGAATAATCGCTGGGACCCGGGAGGCAGAGGTTGCAGTGAGATGAGATCGCGCCACTGCACTCCAGCCTGGGCAACAGAGCAAGACTCCATCTCCAAAAAAAAAAAAAAAAAAAAAAAAAAAGAAAAAGAAAAAAAAAACAACCCTTATTCTCATTGTGGTTTTTGATTTGCATTTCTCTAATGACCGGTGATCGGGGGCTTGAAACCTAGATGATGGATTGATGGGTGTAGCAAACCACCATAGCACACGTATACCTAGGTAACAAACCTGCACGTTCTGCAGATGATCCCAATCTCAGAATTTAAAGTTAATAAATAAATAAATAATAAATAAAAAGATACCTTCTTCTGTCTTCCTGCTGCTTATACCAAAATGTGGGAGGAGTAAAATAAGCTAAAGGAATGGCTGCTAAATTAAGGGAGCCAGTAATTGCTGATTTTTAGAATTTCCAGCCTCTCCTGTTTGGGAACAATCCTAAAATTAGAAATGGATTCTAGCTGATCATGTTTCCTGATAAACATGATCTAAATATGGAGCTGAGGATGTGGCTGTAGAATCATCGCTTAGAGTTCAGATCCATGAAATCTAGTGCCTCAGAGAATAATTCAGTGAAACAACATATGCTAGTAAGCTTTCAGGTTGCTGCTAAGCACTTTTAGCAGAACTCCAAGGTAAGTTAAGGCTTATCACAGAATGATTTGGGTGTGTGGCTTTTGTTTAATATAGTGAATCCCTATAAGATTATAGGGAGACCTATACAATTTCAGTGAAAATTATATTGGTCAAAACACAGTCAGATTGTACCAAAAATAAGAGTCAACACAAACAACAGTCTTTGGATTCTCAAACTTCTACAAGAAATAATTAGGTTGCAAAAACTCTGCAGCTGCAAATGTAGGCTATCTTTCATTGAAAAGAAAGGCTATATCTATCAGAGGAACTATAGCTACTTAGGGTGGAGGTAAATAATGAAGGAAAAAGATTTATACCTTGCCCCCACTTCTATTGCTACAGCCTTCTTTCCTGCAACAAAATTTACCTGGGGGAGGATAATAACATTGTATGAATAAAGACTGAAGTTTTGGGTTTTATATGGATCTGAATAAATGAATTTCTGAAGCAAAATCTGTTCTGTGACTCAAAGTATTCAGTAGACTTTCTGGTACATAAGAATTGCTGACAATTTAATTTATTGTGCAAATAAGTATACTTCTGAGAGTGAATTGGGCTTTAATAATGATTAGTGCTAGGAAATTTGGGCTATCTTTTCATTATTCTTTTGAGTTACAATAACTGCTTCTTACTTTCCAAGACTTCTTTCTTAGATTAGTATTCTTCTTTCATAAAAAACACTCAGATAAATCCTATGTAATTTTATGTACTTGTTTACATGATTGGAAAGTCTAATTGAAATTGGAAACTACGTAACTATCCATGATAATATGTGACTCACTGTGACAGATTTGTATTACCTCTCTGAAAATTCCAATCTTATCCTTTGAAATGTGTTCGTACTTGGGAGAACTTCTTTGTGATAGATTTAACAATTCATTCAATACTTACTTTCTATTTTCATTAAGATTGCTCATTCACTAAATGTTATGGCAGTGCTCTTCATAATTAATGAACCTTACTCTGGGAAAGCACGTGTTTTGCTCAAGGCCAAAGAGTCCCATTGACATTCATTTTTTCCTGGTAGTCAGCCGAACTTCAGATTTGGCAAATGTGAACCAAACTCTGAAACTCTAAAAATGTGGTTCTATCTAGTTTTTAATCTTAGAAAAATCTCCATGCTTTGTGTTTCCATCCCTCTCTGTACTTTGCCATCACCTCACTGTTAAAATATGGTGCTTTGACTGTAATTTCTTGTTTACTATAACCACACAAAAATTTCCTTCAAACACTTAAGTTATATGATGCTACGTGCCAGATCATTTGTATTTACTATCTTCAGCACCTAACACAGGCTTCTGTAACATAGTAAATGCACACAAAAATATCTAGTAAATAACTGAATGAAAAAAGAATGGATAGATAGGCAAATGTTACTGTTTTTATATTTTGTTTTTTATGAGTTTAGCCAGTATCTCAGAGATATCCTCCTAATGAGATATTTAGTAGTTTAAAGAAAATATTAACTCTGGACAGATTGTAAAGCCAAAGGCATACACTGAGTAATTATTAAAAGCAGTATTAGATCTATCACAGCTAAAGCTGAAAATAATTATTTTTTGATGGCTATGATATTATAATATGAAAATGTGGGGCTGCCAAGCATACAAAGAAATTCAGGAGAAGTACAATTTATTAGTAACTTTGTGACTGTTTATGTAGAGATTTGTATTATAACTTCTTGAACTCAAAGAGGATATATTCAGGACATGTTTTCTGAATTAGAGTTCACCTGAGAGGAAGAAGGCGAGGCCAACACCTTCTCTATAACACATTTCTGAAGATAATGTTAATGGAGCTTTTCTTTTCTTCCCCCTCTCCTTCCTCCATACGGAGGGCACTTTATAGATAGTATTTCATAAGGTAGTCTCAGGTCCCCAGTAAATGCTCATCATAGCAGACATCTTCAAAAGGATCATTGCATCTTTAGCTGCTCATCAGAGGCCCCTAACAAGTTAGCTGACACAAAGAATGAAGAAAACAAACTTACCTTGCCAGCAAATGGGCAGCTCTGTCACAATACCAAATTGTCCCTACATGCTTCAGCACCTGCTACAATAAAAGAAGACATAATATAATTGCTGTTGGGAAGAGATGCGCAACCAGGGACTACAGCAAGAGCTTCAGCAGCTGTTTGTAGTGAAAATAAGTCATTTTCTATCTGTGCTCAGTGCTTTGAGAGAATCACGAAAATGACATTCTCTTAGAATTAGCAATGCTTTCCTTCGGAAACTTTACAGGTATATAACTAAAAGGAGATATACCGAGAAAGTTCAGTAGAACTATTGTAATGCTACTGAGACCACAAAAAGTAGTTGATAGTTTATTTGGTAATCAATCAATCAATCAGGTATTGGTCTGTAATACTAATTCTACTAAATTGTGATTTAACAACTCATGTGTTTGTGTCTAATTTCCATAATTCAGTCAGAAGCAACTTCATGTTTGGAATGTACCTGATTCACCTATGTGTCACCAGTAGCATCTGGCCTTTCAAATAGTGGATGCTCAGTAGCTGTATGTTCACTAGATTTTTGATAGAAATAGAATGTGTTACATGATTTTCCTTCATGTGTTTATTACACCCAATTTTGTTTAACGGATGAAATCTGATTCTTCATATATCTAATACCAAGTCTTAGTAAAACGATCCCCAGCTGTGCTTGGAGTGCAGTAGTATATTTGCAAAGAAGAAATACATGATTTGCTAAGCTTGAGATTTAAGCTAATATTTGAAATCAGGAGACTTACATTAAGGGATATTTTAAATAATAACTGCTATGGTCCTCGTCCAGCAGACTGAGAATACAGTTATAATACATCAATGATAAAAAATTTATACGAAATTCATAATGTATTTTATATTCTATTTCCCATGTAAGCAAGTGAGTTTTAAGATAAAACACAATGTCATTAAAAGTCAGATGGTGAAAACAGATCTTGGTTATTTCTTCTACCACTGCTAGATAGGCCTTTGATAGATTTCTTTGCTGTACGCTACTTCCCAGCTTGCGGTAGGTCTCTCATTACACAACTTATTTTCTTACTGAGCTACCTAATGCTCTTAACAAATCATCTTTTATCTATTTGGAAAATAAATTATGTGTTTAGCTTCGTGGAACACATTGGTATCTGAACCGTCTACCTGTAGTAGAAAAATTACATACAACCTATGCATCCCAACTCTCCTGTTAGCAGAAAAAATAATATAACAAATATCAGAATCTTCAAAAGGCAGAAAACCTGCCCTGAATCCAAGACATCAGAAGTGTAGGCAAGGTTAGTTAGATAAATGTCTGGATTTGATTTCTCTTTTTCATTCCTTGATTTGAAATGATTTGTCATCAATAAAACGTTTAATTCACCCTGAGACCAGGCATCAACTTTATGCCAGCCTGCTCAAAGATCATCTCTCTCTCAATTGCCTCATATACTGGAAGGTTTAGGCATTCCAAACAGCAACTGCAATAAAACTCAGTAAGTCAGTCCTCAAAATAAACATGTCACCTTTTCAATTTCCCTTATAAAGTAATTTTGGGCCCTTTTACCTACTTCTTGCTTCCAGTGCTGCGGCATCATCTACATTTTTTCCTTTCCCACCATAATTGGTTGCTGCCATTATGCACACAAATTTTTATCTTAGAGTATTGCTATATTATATATATATAAATTTATATCTCTAAATTAATATAATTTAATGTTATATATAATATATAATATTTATACATATATTTATATATAAATTTAAATATTCAAACAGCTTTTGTAGACTGTGAGGATTGAAACTTGTTTTATCACTACCTCTAGTTACTGACATGTAATAAGTTTCAAAAATAATTATTGAATAAATCAATGAATAATTGAATGGATGAATAATTTCTGCTAATTTGGAGAGAAGATAGCTATGATGTTGTGGGTGTTCGGGGAAAGGGTATGACTTGGAAATACCAGTGTCTGTTTAGGCAATTAAACTTTTTGTTTTAGGACATCTTCAGAAAAACTAGAAATACTTACTGTCTTTACACTGTCTCAAAGAGATATCAAAACCAGAACAGAAACACTTTGTCCTTACTATAGAATACAAAATGTATGTTTGCGTGTGTGTGTGTGTGTGTGTGTGTGTGTGTGTGTGTGTGTGTGTGTGTAGGTGTGTTTGTATTTTGCGAAAGGATTTCAAGGACACAGCCATTGGGATACGTTGCTGGGGTTGGGGGTGGGGGAAGAGTACATTTTGCAAGTAGGTAAAATATTCAGCCTAGAGTAGAATAAAATAAATTTTTCTGATTTTATTAATATTTAAATTTGTAATTTTCACAGATGACTGTGAAAGTATATTCTAAACAAATTTATTATATTTTATTTTTTGGTAGTTGAGACAACACATGTTTGTTCTCTCACTGTTCTGGAGGCCACAATCAAACTGAGTCTTGTAGGACCAAAATCAGTGTGTTAGGAGGGCTTTCTTCTGGAGGCTCCCAGGAGAATCCAATGCTTGTTTTTCCTTTTGCAGAGACTTGTAGCTACATCACTTCAATCTCTTCTTCCATCTTCACTTCAACTTCTGTCCTTTATTCAAATATCCCTCTATATCCCTCTTATAGGGATGTATGTGATGGCATTTAGAACCCACTCAGATAATTCAGATAATTTCCCCATTTTAAGATCCCTAATTTAACGTGGATGGAGAGGTTAGACTAGCAGATTGTTCCTCTGCAGAGCGCATTTTGCCACATAAGGTACAAAAGTTTGCTAGGGCTGCCATGACAAAATGCCACAGACTGAGTGGCTTAAACAAAATCAGTTAAATTTCGTAAAGTTCTGGAGGCCAGAAGTCCAAGATCAAGACATCAGCAGACTTGGTTCTTCTGAGGCCCCACTTCTTGGCATGTGGATGGCTGCCTTCTCACTGTGTGTAACATGGTCTTTGAACCATGAGTGCTCATTCCACGTGTCAATGTGTTCAGATTTGCTCTTCTTATATGGACACCAGCAAAATTGGATTAGGGCCTATCTTAATGGCCTCATTTTAACTTAATATACCTCTTTAAAAGACCTATCACTTTTAGGAAGTATGCAATCAAAAAATATTATTTTCATTCTTTCAGTGTAGTCAATCCGGAGTATTTACAGGATGAAACAAGCAAATTTATTTTACATTATACTGGCTGCATTTACAGAATAGTTTTTTTTAAATGCTATTAAGGATTGAGGTAAAATCCTAGGAAATATCGGAATTCTGCATGTTCTTATTTCATTTATACACAAAATATACACTGACAATCAATGAAAAGATTCAAGCAGTTGACACTAAACTACCAGCCTGACTGTTTAAATCAGGTAAATGTACTAGCTTTTTTGTTATTTGGCTCATACAATCTTAACTTTCTATAAAATCTTTGTCCAAAAGCCCAGTTTCCCTGGTGAGGATACTTTGAGTACTACTTTCTGGGAGAAGTTGCTGAAGCTTTGATTCGTTTTCTACAATACTAAATATAAAGCAGCAATTAAGACTTTATATTTACAGACATTTCAAGTAGATTGAAGATGCTTATTGATTAGATATGTGATCTAAGTACACTTACCATCCATTGGTTTTCTATTTCTTGTTAATCCTTAACAGATGGTACAGAATTCATTATGGCTCAGCCAGAATCACAGCAAATTTTTCCTTGTCAGCAGAACAACATTCCTAATTCCTCAGAGAGTGAGTTAACTTTTAAACTCTCTTAGAAAAGACTTAACTTTTAAGAAGACAGCCATCAAAATACATACCTATGTTTATTCAACATTTCTTTCTCATTCTGCCATTCTAAAGACAAGAAATAAATAGAATAACAGCTCTATTATTCAACAACTGTTTGTTGAACAGCTATTACGTGCTGGGGCAGGGTGCTAAACACTGATATGTACAGAGAAAAAGAGAACTTTGCCCCTAAGGATACATGTTTTACTGTGAGATGGAAATATACTAACATATACTTAAATTATATTGTACTTGAACTATGATAGAAATAAAAAAAAAGAGGGAATTTGGAAGACTGACTAATTCTCTTTGAAACAGAAATGAAGTCAAAGAAGCCCAGCCGATTATCTACTTCTAGCAGTATTATTTGCCATAAATGAAAGTGCCATGGTCCAAATTTTCTTGGCCCTTGCCTCTTTATTGTGAAAGAGCATAGGGTTATTCTTCATAAAAAGTTATTTAATGACTTTAAACCACCCTCATTTATTCCTTACTTAAAAATAAAATTTTATTTGATCTACCACTAGATGACTTATTAAGAAAATAAGACACCCAAAGACATGTGCAACACAAAGAAAAAGCACAAGATTGCCAGGCACAGTGGCTCACGCCTGTAATCCCAACACTTTGGGAGGTCGAGGCAGGCGGATCACCTGAAGTCAGGAGTTCAAGACCAGCCTGGCCAACATGGCAAAACCCTGTCTCTACTAAAAATACAAAAATTAGCCAGGTGTAGTGGCCCATGCCTGTAATCCCAGCTATTCGGGAGGCTGAGGTAGGAGAATCGCTTGAACCCGGGAGGCGGAGGTTGCATGAGCCACGATCACGCCACTGCACTCCAGCCTGGGTGACGGAGAGAGATTCTGTCTCAAAAAAAATAAATACAAAATAGAAAAAGCACAAGATTACAGATATAAAGGTTGAAAGGGTATTTGAGAAAATTAAGAAACACATTCCTAATTTTAAAAACTCTAAGTAATCCATAAAAGTAGAGACCCACTTAACTGTAAGAAAGACAGTTTACCAACAATAGTGGAAAATATTATCCCAAATCAGTAACTCCAACTGCATTTCAATTAAAATCAGAAACTAGATCAAAATGTCATAACCACAAGTATTCTAACACTGATTGCAGTAAATACAAAAGTAAAATAACCTAACTGCAAAATTTATTTTAAAATTGTAAGAAAAAACAAATATCTAATATGTGATAGGAAAATATGAGAAGGAAATAAGTTACAATATATAAAAAAGAGAACTAGATATTAGAACATAATATAAAACCACATTAATAAAATTAAGGTGGTATTGATGTAAACTAGCAATAGACAAATTGATCAGTGGAATCCAGTCATGTTCAAAAGCAGACTCCATTGTATATGTGAGAATTTAATACATAATCACCTTGATTTTTCTCTTATAGTGAGGAATATGTGATTTGTTTAAAAAATTTACTAACATAAACAGGCATTCCTTTAGAAGAAAATGCTGTATTCAAAGAATAATTCCAAAATTATTAAGTAATATATGAGACTAAAAGCACTTGCAAATTACAAAGATTCTTTCTTTCTCTAGTGTCTTGTCCAAAAATGCAGCTGGGCTAGGTGTTTGTAACGTATGTGTGTGTGTGTGTGTGATGTATTATGATCTGAATGTTTATGTCTCCCCAAAATTTATGTTGAAATCCTACCCTCAAGGTGATAGTACTAGGAGATGAGGTCTTTGGGACATGATTAGATGAGGAGAGTGGGTCACTCATGAATGACATTAGTGTACTTATAAAAGAGATCTGAGAGCGATTTCTCACTCCCTGCACATGGGAGAACATAGCTAGAAGGCATCACCTATAAGCTGGAAAGGAAGCCCTTACCAGACACCAAATCTACCTCAGATTTGGACTTTTCAGAGCCCAGAATTGTGATAAATAAATTTCTGGTGTTTATAGCCTACCCAGTTTACATTATTTTGTTATAGCAGCTTGGATAGACTAAGACATTGTGTGTGTGTATACACATATATACATATATGTTATACATACATGTATTTTCTGGGAAATAAAATGGAAATAAAGGATATGTAGGAATTATGAAATTTAGGGTACAGGTGAGCTAATGTAGGTTCAGGGAAAAGAGAAAATGTGGAGTCAAGCTTAAATGTTTTTTAAAAGTATGATAAAATATCCAAGATATGTGTTGTTATTTTTATGCCCTCATAAAAATTAAGTATGTGACATGTATATTTTTAAAATATCCTAAAAATGATTTCAGATTAGAAAACAACTAAGTTACATTCATTTGCAATTAAATTATCTCTGTGAATATAGTTTAACCAAACATATTGATAGGCAATGAAGACTGTGGTTTCTATAATCACTAGGGATATTCCAGTTCACAAATTTTCATGGAATGTAGACCCCCCACTAAATGAAGCTTATACACAAAGGAGAAATATCTTTGAAATTGCTATTCCAATGCTTGGTAGCTTATATTCATTAAGTTCATGATAACATTTTCTCAGGAAGTTAATCTCCATGGATAGACCTTAAGGTTGAAGTTCAATTTATACCCTAGGTTAGCTCCTTATACTCTCTATCCACCATAGTTAGATATTAGAGCTTCTTAAAACTGTCACCTCTATTTGTTGCATCATCTCTGATTTCTTTCATCAGTGTTTTGTAATTGTCATTGTAGAGATTTTTCACCTTTTTGCTTAGCTGTATTCCTAGGTATTTTCATGCTCATGGGTAGGAAGAATAAATATCATGAAAATGGCCATACTGCCCAAAGCAATTTACAAATTCAGCGCTATTCCTAACAAACTACCAATGTCATTTTTCACAGATTAAGAAAAAAAAAAGATTCTAAAATTTTTGTGGAATAAAAAGAGCCCTAAGAGCCAAAGCAATCCTAAGCAAAAAAAAAAACAAAGTCAGAGGCATCATGTTACCTGACCTGAAACTATACTGCAAGGCTGCTGTAACCAAAACAGCATGGCACTGTTCCAAAAACAGACAGGTAGACCAATGGAACAGAATAGAGAAGCCAGAAATAAATCTGCACACCTAAAACAATCTGATCATTGACAAAGTCAACAAAAATAAACAATGGGGAAAAGACTCCTCATTCAATAAATGGTGCTAGGATGACTGGCTATCCATATGCCGAAGAAGGAAACTGGATCTCTACCTTTCACCCTATACAAAAATTAATGGAAGTCAGATTAAAGACAAATGTTAGACAGGAAAAATAACTAATGGGTACAAGGCTTAATACCTGGGTGACAAAATAATCTGTACAACAAACCCCCATGATACAAGTTTACCTATATAACAAGCCTGCACATGTACCCCTGAACTTAAAAGTTAAATTAAAAAAAAAAGATTCTAGAAGAAAACATAGAAAAACTCCTTCTCAATATTGGCCCTAGCAAAAAATTTATGGCTAAATCCTCAAAAGCAACTACAACAACAACACATTGACAAATAGGACCTAATTAAACTAAAGAGTGTCTGCACAGCAAGAGAAACTAAAGAGAGTAAACAGACAACCTATAGAATGGGAGAAAATATTTGCAAACTATGCATCTGACAAAGGCCTAATATCCAGAATCTATAAGCAACTTAAATCAACAAGCAAGAAACATACCCCATTAAAAAGCAGGCAAAAGGGCACAAACACACACTTCTCAAAAGAAAACATACAAGCAGCCAACAAATATATTTTTAAAATGCTCATAATCACTAATCATCAGAGAAATCCAGATCAAAGCCACAATGGGATACCATCTCACACCACTCAGAATGGGTTTTGCTAAAATGTCCGAAAGTCACAGATACTGGCAAGGCTGTGGAGAAAGAGGGATACTTATACACTGCTTGTGGGAATGTAAATTAGTCCAGACACTCGGGGGAGCAGTTTGGAGGTTTCTCAGAGAACTAAGAGTTAAACTATAATTGGATGCAGTGATTCCACTATCAGGTATGTACCCAAAGGAAACCAATCTGTGAATCTGGTCATTCTACCAAAAAGACACACGTACCCATACGTTCATCACAGTGCTATTCACAATAGCAAAGACATTTGCTAGATGCCAATCAACTCTGGATTGGATAAAGAATATGTGGTACATTTATACCATGGAATACTATGGAACCATAAAAAGAATGAAATCATGTTCTTTGCAGTAACATGGATGCAGCTGGAGGCCATTATCCTAAGTGAACTAATACAGAAACAGATAACCAAATACTGCATGTTCTCATTTATAAGTGGGAGCTGAACATCAAGTACACATGGACATAAAGATGAGAACAATAGACACTGGGAAATACAAGAGGAAGGAGAGAGAGAAGGAGTCAAGGGGCTGAAAAACTACCTACTGGGTGCTATGCTCACCACCTGGGAGACAGATTCATTCATACTATGAACCTCAGCAGCATGCAATATACCTGTGTAACAGTCCACATGTTCCCACTAAACCCATAATAAAAGCTGAAAAATAAATAATTTTTAAAAAACTGTCGTCTCTTTAAAAAATAAGCATCCTGATGCACTCTTCTGCTTATTTTGAGGATTGCACTAGATAACACATATAAAGCCCCTAGCAGAGAGCTTGGTATAGAGTGAGTGCTTAATAAATACTAGCTATTTCTATAAATAGAGCCTCACAATGTAGAGTGGTGGTACAGTGTTACAGCAGTGAAAAGCACATTCCAATGTCTGATTGGATAGGGTATGGCTTTTTTTTTTTTTGCATAGAAAGTGGTGAAAGAAAGCTGTGAATCTCTCTTTCAAATTTTCTTCAATAGAAATTCACTTATCACTAAGAAACACCTCATTTTAGTTCTGCAGCAGAATCGGGTCTGAGAGATGTTTGCTCTAACAGGATATTACTGTCATTACTGAGATGTCAGAACACTCTGAATTGGAAAAACGCTCTAGAAGTGTGAGTGAATGAAAGAAAAAGAACTCAGAATTTTCCCCTTTTTGGCTTTCATTTACTTTCTTTTTATCCAATCTGATATGCTGAAATGACAATTTTGATTAATATATCTTACTTACTATGTTCTGGCGGTGAGAGAGAGAGAAAGAAAGATAAAGAGAGAGACAGATATAGAGACAAAGATAGATAATCTAAATGTAGCCACTTCCAATCTGCCTCAGATACCAGGGATGCCTCTATTATATTGTTGTTTCTGTTGTCTCTACCTCTTTTGATAGAAAATGGCCAATCTCTTTTTGATTTGTGGATTTATTCTATATCATCAGTGTGCATTGTAATGTAAGCACTCTGTATGAGATTCCTATATTACCAGCGAATTTTACACTTCTTGAAGCAGGGGTGAACATTGGGAATGGTAACTGTATTGGAAGTCAGAAATTTCTGATTTTGCATATCTGAAAATATCTAGCTGTATGTCCTTAAGGAATATCATTTACATTGAGACTCTTGAATTTATGTTTACTAATTTAATTTTCAAAATTGCATTTCAAAGAAGATGTTATAATGTTATAATCCCCATTTAACAGATAATGAAACTGAAACTCAGATGCGCTAGGTGATTTGTTCGAAGTCACGTAGTCTCTGAGTGGCAAACGAGGTATTGGTGTCTATGTCTAAGGCCACAGTCAGGTATTCTCTTGACAAACTGTGCTACTGCTCCCCTCCACTTAATTTCTCTTAAATTAAACAAAAAGGAGTAGGCTAAATGAACGCTAAAGTCTCTTTTTAAACTACAATTTATGATTCGTATTCATAAAATTTGGTTATATTGACTTCTCTGAGAACCTTAGAAGAAGGGGCTTTGCAAAACAATGGAGGAATAGGATAGAAAATCTAGAACATTTGAAACTTACCACAATTTGACCTTGGCAACGATTTGTTGACTGTGATCCCAAAAGCATAGGCAAGGAAAGCAAACATAAATGGGATAGTATCAAACAAAAAAAATCAACACAGTAAGGAAAATAATCAACAGAGTGAAGAGGCAAACTAAAGAAATGAGAGAAAATATTGGCAAACCTAAGATGTTTATATCCAAAATATAAAAGAAAATCAATGCTCCTTTTTTTTTCTTGAGATGGGGTCTTGCTCCGTCGCCCAGGCTGGAGTGCAGTGGCATGAACTCGGCTCACTGCAAGCTCTGGCTCCTGGGTTCAGGCCATTCTCCTGCCTCAGCCTTTCGAGTAGCTGGGACCACAGGCGCCCTCCACCACGCCTGGCTAATTTTTTTGTATTTTTAGTAGAGATGGGGTTTCACCCTGTTAGTCGGGATAGTCTCGATCTCCTGACCTCGTGATCCACCCGCCTCAGCCTCCCAAAGTGCTGGGATTACAGGCGTGAACCACCGCGCCCGGCCAATGCTCCTTTTTTTTTGGCTAAGATCAAGTGAAAAACATATAAGAAACTAAAAAAAAAACAAACAAAAAAAAAAAACAAAAAAAAACACACCTCAATAGCAAGAAAACAAATAAGTTGATTAATAAATGGACTAAGGGGCGGGGCATGGTAGCTCAAGCCTGTAATCCCAGCACTTTGGGAGGTCAGGAGTTTGAGACCAGCCTGGCCAACATGGTTGAAACTCGTCTTTACTAAAAATACAAAAAACAAAAACAAAAACAAAAATTAGCTGGGCATGGTTGTGCATGCCTATGATCCCAGCTACTCAGGAGGTTGAGGCAGGGGAATCCCTTGAACCCAGAAGGTGGAGGTTGCAGTGAGCCAAGATCGTGCCACTGTACTCCAGCCTGGGTGACAGAGTGAGACTCCATCTCAAAAAAAAAAAAAAAAAAAAGGGGGGACTAAGGACCTAAATAGACCTATCTCAAAAAAAAAAAAAAAAACATTGAAATGACCAAGAGGTCTATGAAAAAATGCTCAGCTTCACTAATTATTAGAGAAATGCAAATTAAAGCCACTGTGAGATATCACCTTGCAACTGTTAGAATAGCTGTTATCAAAAAAACGAAAGATAAGAAGTGTTGGCAAGGATGTGGAGAAGGTGGAACTCTTGCTCACTGATGGTGTGAATATAAATTAGCACAGCTATTACGGAAAATGCTATGGAGATGCCTCAAAAAATTAAAAATAAAACTACCGTATGATACAGCAAGTCTCCTTATATATATATATAATATGTATAAAATATATTTTAATATATAATTGTGTGTGTGTGTATATATATTTTTATATATTATATATATATATGTATATCCCCAAAGGGAACGAAATCAGCATGCTGAAGAGACATCTGTATTCCCATGTTCATTGTGGCAATATTCATGACTACAATGATATGAAATAAATGTGTGCCCATAAAGAGACAAATGATTAAAGAAAATGTGTACACAATGAAATATTATTCAGCCTGAAGAAAAGGAAATCCTGTCATTTTCAATAACATGGATAAACCTGCAAGACACGATGCTAAGTGAAATAAACCAGGCACAGAAAGAAAAATACCGCATGATCTTACATATATGTGAAATCTAAAATAGTCATACTCATAGAAACAGAGAGTAGTGTTGTGATTACCAGGGACTGGGGGCTCGGGGGGTTGGTTGGTCAGCTGTTGGTGAAAGAGTATAAAGTTTCAATTAGAAGGAATTACTTCTAGAAATATATTGTACAGCATGATTACTATAGTAAATAATAAGGTACTGTATACTTAAAAATTGCAAAGAGAGTAGGTTTTAAATGTTATCAATAAACAAATAATTATGTAAGGTGATGAATATCTTAATTAGCTTGATTTAGTCACTCCACAATGTATA